>NC_000005.10:82837079-83140110 GCF_000001405.40 Homo sapiens | reverse complement strand
CTGTCCCTCTGGAGAACCCTAATACACATGCATACTAGGACTGAGAAAATAAGTGAACATATTGTGAAAAATGAAAGCCAGATTTCACTGTCAGAGAAAGTTACAAATAAGAAAGAAGGAAAGGCTAGAGTAAACTCTACATTGAACTAATGGCTTTTAACATAAATACAGATGGACAAATGCAGATGTGTGAATGTATATGTATGAGTATACAACCAACCATAAAATCATGCACCACATAACAATATTTCAGTCAACAAGGAAAAGCGTAGTCCCATAAGATTATAATACCTTATTTTTACTGTACCTATTCTGTGTTTAGGTGTGTGTAGATACACAAAGATTTACCACTGTATTACAACTGCCTACAGTACTCAGCACAGCAACATGCTGTATGGGTTTGTAGCCTTGGAGCAACAGGCTATACATACTATATATCCTAGGTGTGATATGTCATCTAGGTTTGTATTAAGTATACTCTATGATGTTTGCACATCATCAAAGAAATCACCTAACGAAGATTTCTCAGAACATATCCCCACTGTTAAACAACATGTGACTGTATTTGCTAACTCTGCTAAAATTAGTTGGTAAAAGTATAATGAAACAAAAGATACTTGTATTCTCTTAAAATATCTCTTCACAAGATACTTATTAATTACAAAAGGAGAAATTAGCAAAACCTAGCAAACAAAACCTCAAGCAAGTATTCAAAGTTAATATCACCCACAGTAATGCTTAAGAATATCAAGTATCCTCTAATATGTTACACTGAGAAAGGTACAACATCATTTCTATGGTATTCTTGTCAAAAATGTATAAACTCAATCTAATCTTGAGGAAAAATCCAAAGTGAAGGACGTCCTACAAACTCTCAATGGCCAGTAGTCTTCAAAATAGTCAATGTCATGAAAAACAAACACTAACGAACTTCCACAAACTGTAAAAAACTAAAGAGACAATGAAATGCAATGTGGGATACTGGATTGTATGCTAGACAAGAAAAAGATCTTTAGTGGGACAACTGGTGAAACTGAAATAAAATCTGTAGATTACTATGTCAATGTTAATTTCTTAGTTTTAATAATTGTACTATAATTATATAATGGAATATGTGAACATTAGGGGACACAGGAGTAAAGGTATACAGAAATTCTCTTTATTATTTTTTCAACTTCTCTATAAGTCTAAAATTAAGCAATAAAAAATATATATTACCTCTCAAAACACATAAATGACCAAGAACTATAACAAGCCAGAAAACATCACTATAATCCACCATCATTGTTCTAGTCACTACGAGCAATTCCCCACTACTGAACTGCTGTTGAATCATTTGTAGCTAAAAATATCACATTCTTACAAGGAGTTGCACAAATAAAGAAACTTGCCTTTAATTATTACAAGACTGGAAATGTAATGAAAAAAGTATGGAAATGGATAATCCTTTGTTGAATTTTCTGGCAGAGTAACATAATATGCATTAATTAAAGTATACTTATAAAGTATACTAGCAAAGTGTGCTAGTTTTTGTTGTGTGCTAGGTTTTGCTAATATACTTTGCTTATAGTATACTTTGTAAGTATACTTCCATCAATGCATGTTATGTTACCCTACCAGAAAATTCAATACAGAAATTGAAAGTTCTGGGTCTACTAGCAAACATATTTGATAAAGTATATAGCAAGCAATAACAAATATCTAACAAGGCCTCTCATAAGGTCAAGGAAGACCCAAGCCACTCCCAATTTATTAGACTCCAGATATAGTAAAAGGTTATAAAGGTTATAAAAACTGGATTGACATATTTAAAATGATGTTATTTATAGTGCACTTCAAGCAGTATGGCTTGTAATGGGAAACAGTTTTAAATAGGTACATATAATGTGTGCTCTGACTATGTGTATAAAATCATTTAGAGATAACATCAGAAGCATATGTTTGAGGCCCTTCTAAATGAGAAACATCACCCCAATGGCATCATGTAGTACACCAATTCAGTTTACAAGCACAGTCCACAAGCATAAAACCCTGTGAGTTAGCATTATTAATCTATCTGAACTCAAGTACTTCCATTATAAAGTAGATAAATGTTTGCTGAGAAATATATGATTAGAAATAATTAAATTCAAGAGTCAGGCCTAGATACTATGTTCTGTCCACTATGCAAACATGTCCTCTCAATAAAAGACCATCCCCAGAACATACGGATTTGCTGCAGTTTGAAATCCAGCTAAACATGACCACTTCCCTCAAGGAATTTACTATATACTAGAATAGACAAGTAAATACTAACAACAAAGACTTTTAAAGGATCTGTTACAAGAAAGAACTGTCCTAGAATAAACACACATACACACACACACTAATTAATTAAATCCTTACAACCACCTCCTAAGGCCAGTACTAGTACTATTTCTAAATTATAAACAAAACAATTGAGGACAAACAGTTGAATAAGCTGCCAAAATCTCACACCTTGAAAGGTGCAGTGCTGAGATTCAAATCCAGGTAGTCAGGAGGGTTCATCACTACCTAGGCAGTGGACAATAACATGCCAAGAACGGGTTACAGATGCACAATATGATTCTCCTGGCTATAAACGGTTTTAATAGTAATATTTTGAAATATAAGACTATAGCTATTCAAAAATGGTTAATAACCATATGTAATTTGAACAATATTTCTATAGCTGCCTCACTAAACTTGCTAAATTCAGTAGTTTTGGAGGGTGTGAACACAACTAGACTACATTGCATCCCCTCCAAACTCACCTACTGAAACATCCCAGTTAAGTCTAATTATTATATAATTTGTGATATTTATCATCAGTGAAGATTTCTGTTCTTCATTCATATATAAAATATCCCTTTTAAACCAATTTAATTAGCAGTTATTTTATATAATTACGTGCCATCATCATGATCAACATCATCATCTGATTTTTGATGTTCCTAAAATATCTTAGATTCTGTTAATTTTTTCAATTGGTTACTTGTTTATAACTTTTGGATGGTAATCATAAATAAAAACTGGATTTTTTTGTATATAAGGTACACAACTTGATGACTTGATCTATGTCTACAATGTGAAATAATCACCACAATCAAGCTAATTAACATCTATCACCACACGGTTACCTCTTTTGTGTGTGTTTGTGAAGAGAACACAGGATCCATCCTCTTAGCAACCTTCAAATACAGTACAATATTGGTACCTATAGTCACCATGGTATAAATTAGATCTCCAGAACCCATTAATATGATTTTTGACTGAATTTCATAATAAACAGTTTGCTTTTAAAAATAAAGAAAATGCCTATTTAAGAAAATAACTGAATATAATTCAATTAAATCAATGAAGAGTACTGCAGGTCTTTATTGCTTCAGAAATCAATCTTAAAATTTTTTTTCTATGCAATAATTTGAAACAGCATTCAGAATGTAGGTAACCAAAAATATTCTGAAAATTTGAAATTTTGAAGTGAGAATTTAAAAGGCTGAGGTTCACCTTAAGTGTTTTATCTTTAATTAATTTTAAATGATTATAACTTAATGACAATAATTAATAGCAAGTTTTTATTAAAGTTGGGGAACGATGATAGTCAAAAGAAAACCCAAATTCCAAAACAGTAACTAAACAATGAGGAGCAACACAACTTTCAACAAGTACCCGGATAATTCTTTTCCTGACACTGAATGTCTTATGTGCATGGAATGAAGCAATGGTATCCAGAAGACTAAGCCAGAGCAGAGGGCAAGAAAGGAAGAAAATATCTCAGATTTTCAAAGTTTCTGCATGAGCAAAATAAGCACAAATCTATTAATAGGTGGGTCGTCAGAATTGGTGATCTAGCTTGCTAAAGACAAGATGATGTATTTGACACACAAAGCTAAAATACCACATATAATCACAAAATTATTCACTATACCCTCTTGTATAAAAACAATAGGGATCAGGTAAAAGGACTCAGAAGTATTTTGCCTCAATAGCGGGGTAAAATTAAACCTAAAATAAATGTTTGTTCCTGTTTAACAAAGCTTAAAAGCATGAGCAAAAAGTATAACTGTTTCTAAATAACTTACCTACGTCCCAGAACAAAGCAAAAGTGTATAGGAATATACAAATATACTGTACCAAATAAAAAGATTCACAATGTTTAGCATACAATCAAAGATAAACAGGCATGCAAAGAAAAAGAAAAACAGAACACATATGGAGCAGAAAAATCTATCAAAACCAAAAATAACAAAGATTAAGAAATATTCATACACAAGGTCATTAAAGGTTATTACAATTTTATTCCCTATGTTCAAGAATGTAAACAAAACTTGAAATATATTTTAAAAGACTTAGAAAGATAAAAATCACCATGCCTGAGATGAAAAAAACAACACATTAGACAAAGCACAGCAGAAGAAAAGATTAGCGAATGTAAAGACACAGCAATAGAAACTATCCAAAACAAAACACAGGAAGCAAAAAAATGGTGGCAGGGGGCAATACAGGATCAGTGGGCTGTGTGATAAATTTCAGAAACATAATATACATATAAATGGAATCCCCAAAAAACGAGAAAAGAAAATAGAAAAACTATAAATGAATAGATCAAAGCTCAATAAACAAAGAAAACTACATCATGGCATATTATAATCAACTTGCTTAAAGGCAGTGATAAAAAAGAAAAAACCTTAAAAGCAGCTGAGGAAAAAAAAAAAAGGCATACTGCCTTAGATAAGAAAGATAAGGTAGGAGGAGTTTCCAAGATGGCCGAATAGGAACAGCTCCAGTCTATAGCTCCCAGTGTGAGCGACACAGAAGATGGGTGATTTCTGCATTTCCAATGGAGGTACCAGGTACATCTCACTGGGACTTGTGAGACAGTGGGTGCAGCCCACAGAGCATGAGCCGAAGCAGGGTGGGGCATCACCTCACCCTGGAAGCTCAAGGGGTCAGGCAATTACCTTTCCTAGCCAAGGGATGCCATGACAGACGGTACCTGTGTGTCCAGAATTGATTACTTAGAGTGGGTTCTTGGTCTCGCGGACTTCAAGAATGAAGCTGCGGACCCTCGCGGTGAGTGTTAACAGTTCTTAAAGATGGTGTGTCCAGAGTTTGTTCCTTCAGCTGTTCAGATGTGTCCGGAGTATCTTCCTTCTGGTGGGTTCGTGGTCAATGCTGATTTCAGGAGTGAAGCTGCAGACCTTCGCGGTCAGTGTCACAGCTCTTCAAGGTGGCGTGTCCAGAGTTGTTCCTTCTGCCCAGAGGGTTCATGGTCTTGTTGGCTTCAGGAGTGAAGCTGCAGAACTTCGCAGTGAGTGTTACAGCTCATAAAGGCAGAGCGAACCCAAAGAGTGAGCAGCAGCAAGATTTATTGCGAAGAATGAAAGAACAAAGCTTCCACAACACGCAAGGGTACCCGAGTGAGTTGCTGCTGCTGGCTCAGGTTGCCTGCGTTTATTCCCTTATCTGGCCCCACCCTGATCCTGCTGATTGGTCCATTTTACAGAGAACTGATTGGTCAATTTTGCAGAGAGCTGATTGGTCCATTTTACAGAGAGCTGATTGGTACGTTTTACAGAGAGCTGATTGGTCTGTTTTGAGAGAGTGCTGATTGATGCGTGTACAAACCTTTAGCTAGAAACAGAGGGCTGACTGGTGCATTTACAACCCTTTAGCTAGACAGAAAAGTTCTCCAAGTCACCACCCAATTAGCTAGACACAGAGTGCTGAATGGTGCATTTACAAACCTTTAGCTAGACACAGAGTGCTGACTGGTGTGTTTACAATCCTTTAGCTAGACACAAAAGTTCTCCAAGTCCCCACCCATCCCAGAAGCCCAGCCAGCTTCACCTCTCACTGGCACTCACCGCGGGACTTTGCGGCACCTACCCCGGACACTCCGGCAGCCCAGAGGGAGCTCGTTCCAGACAATCAAGAGGAAAATAGGGAAAGCGAGAAAGAGACGGAGACCTGCTATCATGGTCAATGATTCCACGAATAGGGAACAGCGGTCCAAGCATGGGATTCAGCCTCCGATCAAGCCCAGAAGGAGCTAGCCGGCCGTGAAGACTGCGGCGCTTGCCCAGCCCGTGCTCACCTGGAACCCACACCAGCCCGCGAGCACCACGCACAGCCCCAACTCCCGCCAGCGCCTCTCTCTTCACACTGCCCCGCCAGCAGAGGGAGCCAGCTCCAGCCTTGGCAAGCACCAGAGAGGGGCCCTCATATGCAGTGGTGGCCTGAAGGGCTCCTCAAGTGCAGCCAGAGCAGACGACAAGGCCAAGGAGGCACCAAGAGCAAGCAAGGGCTGCTTGCATGTTGTCACCTCTCAACTGGAAAATCAGGACACTCCCACCCTAGTACTGCGCTTTTCCAATGGTCTTAGCAAACAGCACACTGGGAGATTATATCCCACGCCTGGCTTGGAGAGTCCCATGCCCATGGAGCCTCGCTCACTGCTAGAACAGCAATCTGAGATCAAACTGCAAGGGGGCAGCAAGGCTAGGGTAGGGGCGTCCACCATTGCTGAGGCTTGAGTAGGTAAACAAAGCGGCCAGAAAGCTCGAACTGGGTGGAGCCCAACGCAGCTCAAGGAGGCCTGCCTGGCTCTGTAGAATCCACCTTTGGGGGCAGGGCCTAGCTAAACAAAAGGCAGCAGAAACTTCTGCACAATTAAACGTTCCTGTCTGACAGCTGTGAAGAGAGTAGTGGTTCTCCCAGCACAGACTTGGAGATCTGAGAATGGACAGACTGCCTCCTCAAGTGGGTCCCTGACGCCCGAGTAGCCTAACTGGGAGGCACCTCCCAGTAGGGGCCGACTGACACCTCAGATGGCCAGGTGCCCCTCTGAGACAAAGCTTCCAGAAGAAGCATCAGGCAGCAGCATTTGCCATTCTGCAATATTTGCTATTCTGCAGCCTCCGATGGTCATACCCAGGCAAACAGAGTCCGGAGTGGACCTCCAGCAAACTCCAACAGACCTACAGCTGAGGGTCCTGAATATTACAAGGGAAATAACAAACAGGAAGGACATCCACACCAAAACCCCATCTGTACATCACCATTACCAAAGACCGAAGGTAGATAAAACCACAAAGATGGGGAAAAACCAGAGCAGAAAAGCTGAAAATTCTAAAAATCAGAGCACCTCCTCTCCTCCAAAGGAATGCAGCTCCTCGTCAGCAAAGGAACAAAGCTGGACAGAGAATGACTCTGACAAGTTGAGAGAAGAAGGCTTCAGATGATCGGTCATAACAAACTTCTCCGAGCTAAAGGAGGATGTTTGAATCCATTGAAAAGAAGCTAATAACCTTGAAAAAAGATGAGATGAATGGCTAACTAGAATAAACAGCATAGAAGAGACCTTAAATGACCTGAATGAGCTGAAAACAATGGCACAAGAACTACATGCCGCATGCACAGGCTTCAGTGGCCGATTCAATCAAGTGGAAGAAAGGGTATCAGTGATTGAAGATCAAATGGATGAAATGAAGTGAGAAGAGAAGTTTAGAGAAAAAAGAGTAAAAAGAAATGAACAAAGCCTCCGAGAAATATGGGACTATGTGAAAAGAACAAACCTACGTCTGATTGGTGTACCTGAAAATGACAGGGAGAATGGAACCAAGTTGGAAAACACTCTGCAGGATATTATCCAGGAAAACTTCCCCAACCTAGCAAGGAAGGCCAACATTCAAATTCAGGAAATACAGACAACGTCACAAAGATACTCCTCGAGAACAGCAACACCAAGACACATAATTGTCAGATTCACCGAAGTTGAAATGAAGGAAAAAATGTTAAGGGCAGCCACATAGAAAGGTCAGGTTACCCACAAAGGGAAGCCCATCAGACTAACAGCGGATCTCTCAGCAGAAACTCTACAAGCCAGAAGAGAGTGGGGGCCAATATTCAACATTCTTAAAGAAAAGAATTTTCAACCCAGAATTTCATGTCCAGCCAAACTAAGCTTCATAAGTGAAAGAGAAATAAAATACTTTACAGACAAGCAAATGCTGAGAGATTTTGTCACCACCAGACATGCCTTATAAGAGCTCCTGAAGGAAGCCCCAAACGTGGAAAGGAACAACCAGTATGAGCCACTGCAAAAACATGCCAAATTGTAAAGACCATCGATGCTAAGAAGAAACTGCATCAACTAACGAGCAAAATAACCAGCTAACGTCATAATGACAGGATCAAATTCACACATAACAATATGAACCTTAAATGTAAATGGGCTAAATGCTCCAATTAAAAGACACAGACAGGCAGATTGGAGAAAGAGTCACAACCCATCAGTGTGCTGTATTCAGGAGACCCATCTCATGTGCAGAGACACACATAGGCTCAAAATAAAGGGATGAAGGAAGATCCACCAAGCAAATGGAAAATAAAAAAAAAAGGAGGGGTTGCAATCCTAGTCTCTGATAAAACAGACTTTAAACCAACAAAGATCAAAAGAGACAAAGAAGGCCATTACATAATGGTAAAGGCACCAATTCAACAAGAAGAGCTAACTATCCTAAATGTATATTCACCCAATACAGGAGCACCCAGATTCAAAACGCAAGTCCTTAGAGACTTACAAAGAGACTTAGATTCCCACACAATAAGGATGTGAGACTTTAACACCCCACTGTCAACATTAGACAGATCAATGAGACAGAAAGTTAACAAAGATACCCAGGAATTGAACTCAGCTCTGCACCAAGCAGACCTAATAGACAATCTACAGAACTCTCCACCCCAAATCAACAGAATATACATTCTTCTCAGAACCACATCGCACTAAACAATCAAACTAGAACTCAGGATTAAGAAACTCACTCAAAACTGCCAACTACATGGAAACTGAACAACCTGCCCCTGAATGACTACGGGTAAATAACAAAATGAAGGCAGAAATAAAGATGTTCTTTGAAACCAATGAGAACAAAGACACAACATACCAGAATCTCTGGGACACATTTAAAGTAATGTGTAGAGGGAAATTTATAGCACTACATGTCCACAAGAGAAAGCAAGAAAGATCCAAAATTGACACCCTAACATCACAATTAAAAGAACTAGAGAAGCAAGAGCAAACATATTCAAAAGCTAGCAGAAGGCAAGAAACAACTAGGATCAGAGCAGAATTGAAGGAGATAAGAGACACAAAAAACCCTTAAAAAATCAATGAATCCAGGAGATGGTTTTTTGAAAAGATCAACTAAACTGATAGACCACTAGCAAGACTAATAAAGAAGAAAAGAGAGAAGAATCAAATAGATGCAATAAAAAATGATAAAGGGGATATCACCAACGATCCCACAGAAATAAAAACTACCATCAGAGAATACTATAAACACCTCTTCGCAAATAAACTAGAAAATCTAGAAGAAATGGATAAATTCCTCGACACATACACCCTCCCAAGACTAAACCAGGAAGAAGCTGAATCCCTGAATAGACCAATAACAGGTTCTGAAATTGAGGCAATAATTAATAGCCTACCAACCAAAAAAAGTCCAGGACCAGATGGATTCACAGCTGAATTCTACCAGAGGTACAAAGAGGAGCTGGTACCATTCCTTCTGAAACTACTCCAATCAATAAAAAAAGAGGGAATCCTCCCTAACTCATTTTATGAGGCCAACATCATCCTGATACCAAAGCCTGGCAGAGACACAACCAAAAAAAGACAATTTTAGACCAATATCCCTGAAGAATATCGATGCAAAAATCCTCAATAAAATACTGGCAAACCAAATCCAGCAGCACATCAAAAAGCTTATCCACCACAATCAAGTTGACTTCATCCCTGGGATGCAAGGCTGGTTCAATATATGCAAATCAATAAAAGTGATCCATCATATAAACAGAACCAAAGACAAAAACCACATGATTATCTCAATAGATGCAGAAAAGGCCTTTGACAAAATTCAACAGCTCTTCATGCTAAAAACTCTCAATAAATTAGGTATTGATGGGACGTATCTCAAAATAATGAGAGCTATTCACAACAAACCCACAGCCAATATCATACTGAATGGGCAAAAACTGGAAGCATTCCCTTTGAAAACTGGCACAAGACAGGGATGCCCTCTCTTACCACCCCTATTCAACACAGTGTTGGATGTTCTGGCCAGGGCAATTAGGCAGGAGAAGGAAATAAAGGGTATTCAATTAGGAAAAGAGGAAGCCAAATTGTCCCTGTTTGCAGATGACATGATTGTATATTTAGAAAACCCCATCATCTCAGGCCAAAATCTCCTTAAGCTGATAAGCAACTTCAGCAAAGTCTCAGGATACAAAATCAATGTACAAAAATCACAAGCATTCCTATACTCCAATAACAGAGAGCTAAATCATGAGTGAACTCCCATTCACAATTGCTACAAAGAGAATAAAATACCTAGGAATACAACTTACAAGGGATGCGAAGGACCTCTTCAAGGAGAACTACAAACCACGCTCAATGAAATAAAAGAGGACACAAACAAATGGAAGAACATTCCATGCTCATGGATAGGAAGAATCAATATTGTGAAAATGGCCATACTGCCCAAGGTAATTTATAGATTCAATGCCATCCCCACCAAGCTAGCAATGACTTTCTTCACAGAATTGAAAAAAACTACTTTAAAGTTCATATGGAACCAAAAAAGGGCCCGCATTGCCAAGATTATCCTAAGCAAAAAGAACAAAGCTGGAGGCATCATGCTACCTGACTTCAAACTATACTACAAGGCTACAGTAACCAAAACAGCATGGTACTGGTACCAAAACAGAGGTATAGACCAATGGAACAGAACAGAGCCCTCAGAAATAATACCACACATCTACAACCATCTGATCTTTGACAAACCTGAGAAAAACAAGCAATGGGGAAAGGATTCCCTATTTAATAAATGGTGCTGGGAAAACTGGCTAGCCATATGTAGAAAGCTGAAACTGGGTCCCTTCCTTACACCTTATACAAAAATTAATTCAAGATGGATTAAAGACTTAAACATTAGACCTAAAACCATAAAAACCCTAGAAGAAAACCTAGGCATTACCATTCAGGACACAGGCATGGGCAAGGACTTCATGACTAAAACACTAAAAGCAATGGCAACAAAAGCCAAAATTGACAAATGGGATCTAATTAAACTAAGGAGCTTCTGCACAGCAAAAGAAACTATCGTCAGAGTGAGCAGGCAACCTACAGAATGGGAGAAAATTTCTACAATCTACCCATCTGACAAAAGGCTAATATCCAGAATCTACACAGAATTTAAACAGATTTACAAGAAAAAAATCAAACAACCCCATCAAAAAGTGGGCAAAGGATATGAACAGACACTTCTCAAAAGAAGACATTTATGCAGCCCAAAAACACATGAAAAAATGCTCATCATCACTGGCCATCAGAGAAATGCAAATCAAAACCACAATGAGATATCATCTTACACCAGTTAGAATGGCGATCATTAAAAAGTCAGGAAACAACAGGTGCTGGAGAAGATCTGGAGAATTAGGAACACTTTTACACTGTTGGTGGGACTTTAAACTAGTTCAACCATTGTGGAAGACAGTGTGGTGATTCCTCAAGGATCTAGAACTAGAAATACCATTTGACCCAGCCATCCCATTACTGGGTATATACCCAAAGGATTATAAATCATGCTGCTATAAAGACACATGCACATGTATGTTTATTGCGGCATTATTCACAATAGCAAAGACTTGGAACCAACCCAAATGTCCATCAATGATAGACTGGATTAAGAAAATGTGGCACATATACACCATGGAATACTATGTAGCCATTAAAAAGGATGAGTTCATATCCTTCGTAGGGACATGGATGAAGCTGGAAACCATCATTCTCAGCAAACTATTGCAAGGACAGAAAACCAAGCACCACATGTTCTCACTCATAGGTGGGAACTGAACAATGAGAACACTTGGACAGAGGATGGGGAACATCACACACTGGGGCCTGTCGTGGGGTGGCAGGAGGGTGGACGGATAGCATTAGGAGATATACCTAATGTAAATGAGGAGTTAATGGGTGCAGCACAGCAACATGGCACATGTATACATATGTAAAAAACCTGCATATGTAACCTAGAACTTAAAGTATAATAAAAATAAATAAATAAATAAATGACAGATGACTTCTCAGCAAACAAACAAACAAACTAACAAAACTAGCCAGAAGGCAGAGCAATGCTCTTAAAGTACTGAAAAAAAAAAAAAAAGTCAACTTAGAATTCTCTACCCAGTGAAAATAACTTTTAAAAAGAAAGACAAAGTACAGACTTTGGAAGATACATAAAATCCGATAGAATTCATCCTAAGCAGACTCACATGATAAGGAATATTAAATGAAGTCCTTCAAACAGAAGAAAAATATTATTACATGGAAATCTGGATCTATATGGAGGAATAAATTGCTCCAGACCTGATCATGCACCATTAGGCCCCATTTCCTCACACTGTTGAATTGGGGATGGTATTAGTCCGTTTTCATACTGCTGATAAAGACATACCCAAGACTGGGTAATTTATTTAAAAAAAAACAAAAACAAAAACGGTTTAATGGACTCACAGCTCCACGTAGCTGTGAAGGCCCCAGAATCATGGCAGAAGGTGAAAGGCACATCTTACATGGCGGCAGGCAAGAGAGAATGAGAACCAAGTGAAAAGGGTATCACCTTATAAAAGCATCAGATCTCGTGAGACTTACTACCACAAAACAGTATGTGGGAAACTGCCCCCATAATTCAATTATCATCTACCAGGTCCCTCCCACAAGATGTGAAAATTATGGGAGCTACAATTCAAGATGAGATTTGGGTGGGGAAATAGCCAAACCATATCAGGGGTTAAGTTTTCCACACACAAATTTTGGGAGACATATTCAGACCATAGTATTCCACCCCTAGCCCCCCAAATTCATGTCCTTATAACACACAAAATACATCCATTCCATCCCAGTAGCCCCAAAAGTCTTAACTCATTTCAGCAGCAACACAAAAGTCTAAAGTCCAGAGTCTCATCTAAATCAGATATGGGTGAGACTCAAGGAACAATTAATCCTTAAGCAAATTTCCCTGTAAAATCAAACAGGTAAGTTTTGTCGCTCTAAAACACAATGCAGGCGTAAGACAGGTATTTCTATTCCAAAAAGAGAAACAGGAAAAAAGAAGGGAGTTGCAAGTCCCAGAAATGTCTAAAGCCCAACAAGGCATACAATGTTAGACCATAAGGCTGGAGAATAATCTTATGTGGTTCCATGTCCCACCTTCCAGATACGTTGGAAGGATTGAGTCTCTAAGATTTGGACATTCCTGCCCCCATGGCTTTGCTGGCACAGCCCACATTACAGCTCTCACACATTTAAAACCTATGCTTGTAAGCTTTGCCAGGCTGGCACTGCATACCGTGGCTCTTAGTTCTGGAGTATTCAGGTGGCCTTCTTCCCACAGCTCTACCAGGCATTGCAGTAGTGGAGAAGGGGGCTCTCAGTAGCAGCTTATACCCCACAGTTCCCCTGGGCATTGACTTTGTGGGGGCTCTGTGGCAGCCCCATCCCCATAGCAAGTCTCTGCCTGGGCCTTGAAGCTCTCTGCAACAGCCTTTAAACTGCATCTATTTGCAGATAACATCACTGTTTACAGAAAAAATTCTCAAAGAATCTTAAAAGCAAACAACAATAACAACAAAAAACCACCTAGAACAAATAAGGGAATTTAGAAAGTTTGGAGAATATACGGTTAACACAAAAGAAGTCAGTTGAATTTCTATTAATAGATGCTCATAATGAGCCACTGTAAACTCAAATTAAAAATATAATACCACTTATAACAGTGCCAAAAAGACTGAAATACTTAGGCATAAATCTAACAAAACATGTATAGGATCTGTATGCTAAAAACTACAAAATTCTGATGCAAGATTTCAAAGTAAACCTATATAGACATACCATGTTGATAAACTCTATGACTCAATTTTTTTAAATAAATAGAGTAAAACTGATTTTAAAAGTGTATGTGGAAAGGCAAAGTAAGTAAATTATCTAAAATAAAATTTTTCAAAAGAATAAAGTTGGAAGATTCACGTAACTCAATTTTTTTTTTTTTTTTTTTTTTTGATGAGATGGAGTTTCACTCTTTTTGCCCAGGCTAGAGTGCAATGGCACAATCTCAGCTTACTGCAACCTCTGCCTCCCAGGTAGAAGCAATTCTCCTGTCTCAGCCTCCCAAGTAGCTCGGATTACAGGAATGCGCCACCACACCTGGCTAATTTTTTAGTATTTAGTAGAGACAGAGCTTCACCATGTTATTCAGACTGGTTGTGAACTCCTGACCTCAGGTGATCCACCCGCCTCGGCCTGTTGGAATTACAGGCATGTGCCACGACGCCCAGCCCACATAACTCAACTTAAAGGGTAAGGATGTAGCTGCAGTAATTAAGACAGTGTGGTGTTGGTGGAGGGACAGATACATAGATCCATGAGGCAGCATAGAAAATACAAAAATAGACCCACTCAAGTCCAGTCAATGATTTTTAACGAAGATGCAAAAGCAATTTAATGGAGAGAGAAGAGTCTTTTCAACTAATGGTGTTAGAACAATTGACATTCATAGCCAAGAAAGTGAACCTCAACCTCATACTTTATACAAAAAGGAATTCAAAATAGATTATAGATATAAATGTAAAATACAGAACTACAAAACCTTTAAAAGAAACCATATTCAAAAATTTGTATGACATAGGGTTAAGGGAAGAGTCCTTAGACATGACACCAGAAGCAAAAGCATAGAAGAAAAATAGTCCACAAATTGGACTTCATCAAAAATAAAAGCTTTTGCTCTACATAAGACCCTGTTAATAAAATGATCAGACCAGCAAGAGACTAGAAGAAAATAGTTTCACATTACACATACAACAAAAATAAAAATACAATCAAAAAGGGGTAAAAGATTTGAACAAACCAACAAATGGGATACAGAGATGGCAAATAAACATATGAAAAGATTTTTCAGCACCTTGGCCATTAAAGAAATGTCCATTAAAGCCACAATAAGATACCATAACACACCTATTAGAATGGCTAAAGGCAAAAATTCTGACAAAACCAAGTGCTGATAAGAATGTAGATCTTATATATTTCTGGTAAGAATGTAAAATAGTACACCCATTTGGGAAAACAATGTAGCACTTGCTGATAAAGTTAAACACATACTTACCATACAGCCCTGCATTCACAATCCTAGATATTTATTTATCCTAGAGCAGGGGTCAGCAACCTGTTTCTAAAAGGGCGAAAGGTAAATATTTGAGTCATTACACACCATAGAGGACTCTGTTGCAACTATTCAACTTTGCCATTGTAGCACAAAAGTACACACAGACAATATATAAGCATGCATGCATTCCAGTGAAACTTTATTTCCCAAAATGGGCAGCCAATTCACAGGCTATTGTTTGCCAACCCTTGTACTAAATAAATGAAAATTTATGCTCACATGGAAACCTGTACATGAATGTCCAAAGCAGCTTTCTAATAGCCAAAAAAGTGGAAACAACCTAAAGGTTTTTTTCAGTGAATAAATGAATAAACAAAGTGTGGTGCATCCATGGCATTCCATGAGGTAAGAATAGACTACTCAACAATAAAGAAAATGATCTACTGATACATTCAACGATTTGGTGGATCTCAAAAGTATTAGGGTCAGTGAAAAGCAGCCAATCTCAAAAGGATATATATTGTACAATTCCACTAATATTCTCAAAGTGACAAAACTACAGTGACAAACAGATCGGTGGCTACCAGGGATTATATTGGATGGATAGTCTGAATATAAAGGGGGTAACACAAGGGAATAAAGAGGTTTCTTTGAGGTAATAAAAGAGTTCTGTACCCTGACTATGGTGGTAGTTACATGAATCCATATGTGGAACCAAATTCACATAACTATATGCCGAAACAACAACAAGAACAATAAAAACAGTGCACATAAAAACTGATAAAATCTGTGTACAGTCTGTAGTTTAGTTAATAATATTGTACCAAAGTCAATTTCCTGCTTTCAATAATGTACTACAGTTATATATTGTTATCATCGGGAAAGCTGAGTGAAGGGTACACAGGACCTCTGTGTATTACTGTTGAAACTTTTCGACTCTAAAGTTATTTCAAAATGAAAAGTTAAAAAAGTAAGTTAACTGTTAAAAGTAAAAAAAATCAATGTAACAATAACTGTGAAGTGTATAAGATATGTAGAAGTAAAATGTATGACCACAATAGCATAAGCTCATAAAAGCAGAAATGAAAGTATGGTGCCATAATATCTGTGAAGTAGTATATCACTTCAATGTAGACTGTGATAAGGTAAAGATGTATGCTATAAACCCTAAAGCAAACATAAAAATAGCATAAAGATGAGTTATAGATAACAAGATAACTAAAAAGATAAAAGAATAATAAAAAATACTTAACCCAAAATAAAACAGAGAGGAACAAGTAAATAAAATAAAGATGGAACAAACAGAGATAGTAGATTTTTAAACCACCATTTTTTTATGTAATTGTCAATAATTACATAAAACATAAATGGCCTAAACATCCCAATGGAAAAACACAGATTGATAGACTGGATTAAAAAAACAACACCCAACTATACACTTCCTAAAAGAAATCTAATTTACATAAAGAGAAAAATAATTAAAAGCAAAAGGATGAAAAAATATTCCACGTGGATTCCAATCAAAAGAAAACTAGAGGAGTATAAGAACATGCATAAAGTAGATTTTCAGGACAAATAACATCAATAGAATTAGAGGGTCATTTCATAGTGAAAAAGAGGTCAGCTCATCAAGAGAGCATGTCAAAGCTTAATGTTTTACACCTAATTAACAAAGACTCAAAATACATGAAGTAATGTCTGATATTACTTCAAGGAGAAGTAAGACAAATATAGAATTACAGTTCTTGATTTTAATACATTATCAGTCACTTTTAAAAGAAGTAGACAGAAAATAAGCAAGAATATAGAAAACTTAACACCACCAACCAACCTGATCTAATTAATTCCTAAAAATACCCAAACATCTAATAACACCCAAAAATAGCAAATGAATAATTCTTTCAAGTGCATACAAAACATTGAACAACGGTTACATTCAGTGCCATAATACAAGTCCCAATAAATTTAAAGGGATTCAAGTCACATAAAGTTGTCTAACAACAATGGACCTAAATTAAAAACCAGTATTGGCACGATATCTGTAATATCAAACAAAATTGAAAACAAAATTACAAACTACTAATTAATTCAAGGGTGAGGACTAAAATGAAAAGGGAAATTAGGAAATACTTTAAATGAAAATGAAAACACAACATACCAAAATGTGAGGAATGAAGTTATTCCAAATGAAGCATTTGGAATAAAATTTAGATCCTAAATTGTATATCAGAAAAAAGGAAAGTTTTAATTCAGTGACCTCACTTTCTGCTTCAAAGTGATAAACCTAATATAAAATGCATAAGATCTATAATTTGAAAACTACAAACAATTGCTGAGTAATTGATGAGATCTAAATCAAGATTTATAAATTCAACACTACTGACATTCTGGATCAGATAATTTTTGGGGTGGAGGGAAGCCCTGCACCTTATAGAATACTTAGCAACATCCCTGCCTTCTTCCCATTGGATGCCTGTTAGGAGCTGCTGGCCGTGACAATCAAAAATGTCTTCAGATATTGCCAAGTGACCCTAGATGAGCAAAATCTCCCCTGGGTAGGAAACACTGACCTAAATATATGGATGTATTATATTTATGAGTCAGAAGGCTTAATATGGTTAAGATGTCAATTCTGTAGATCCAATGCATCCTCAATTAAGATTCCAGCAGACTTGTTTGGAAAAATTGAGAAACTGATTCTACACCTCATAAAAATATTTGAAATAATAGATAACTAAAGCAAATTCAAAAATAACAAAGTTGAAGAAGTTATACTACATGATTTCACCTGATTTCATGATTTATTATAAGCCTAAGTAATCAAGACAGATTATGGCTGGCACAGAGCTAAACAAATAGATTGATGGGGCAGTATAGAGTCCCAATATAGACCAATACACACGTGGTTAATTGATTTTCAACAAAGTGCAAGAAAAATTCAGCAGGGAATTCAATAAATGGTGCTAGAATGACTAAATATTCATATAAAAAATGAACTTCAACCCATACCTTAAAGTATGTACAAAAATTAACTCAAAATGTATCACAGACTCTAAATGTAAAATCTAAAACTATAGCGCTCATGCATGAAAGCGTAAGTCTGCAACAAGTTAGGCAAAAATGCATTAGAAGTGATCTCAAAGCATGATTAATAAAAGAAAAAAAAGTAAGTTCCTCAAAGTTAAGAAATTATCTGCTTCTCCCACAAACTTGGAGAAAGTATTTGCAAATTGTGTATCTGTTAAGGATATGAAGAGTTCTTCAAAACTCAGTAAGAAAATAAGCAACCCAAATAAAACAAATGTGAAAGATTTAAACAAATATGTCACTATAGAAGATATATAGATGGCAAATAATATCATTAGACATTAGGGAAATGCTAATTTAAAATATGAGACATGGTCACACACCCACTAAAATGTCTAAAATGAAAAATCTGACCATACCAAGTAATGACAAGGATGTGGAGAAACTGGAACTCATATACTGATGATGGGAATGTAAAATAGTACGAACTCTATGGAACACTGTTGGGCAGTTTCTTAAAAAGCTAAACATATGCCTACCATATAACCCAACTATTCTACTCCTATATATTATTCAAATAAAACATATGTCCATACAAAGATTTAAATGTTCATAGCAGCTTTATTGGTTATAGTCCAAAACTGGAAGCAACCCAAATGTCCACCAACTGGTGAATGCATAAACAAATTGGGGTGTATCCATAAAATGGAACACCACTCAGCAGGAAAAAAAGAATAAATTATTAAAACTTACAACAACATGGAGGAATCGCAAAACAATTACGCTGAATAAAAGAAACCAGACCGAAAAAAGAAGTACATACTGTATGGTTAAATGTATGGATAATGTAAACCAATCTATAATGACAGAAATCTAATCAGTGGTTTTCTGGGGACTGAGTGAAGAGGTAGGAAGGAGGGAGAAAGGAATTATGATGGGTACTAAAAAATTTGGGCAGGTTGAGGATTTATCATCTTGATTATGGTGACAGTTTCATGGGTATGTACACATTTTAAAATTTACCCAGTTGTATACTTTCTATATGCACATTTTATAAATTAATTGTATCACAATAAAGTTGTTAAAAATTAAAACATACCCACAAAAAGATTTAGACATGAATGTATATAGCTGCTTTATTCATGTCAGCCCACAACTTGAAATCACCAGATATTCATCAAAAAGTAAAAGTGGTATATCAATACAATGGAATACTACTCAGCAATGGAAGGAATGAAATGCTGATATACAGCACACAATGAGACATCTCAAAAATGTTATACTATGCAAATAAAGTTATGAGCCAGAATACACACTGCATAGTTCCATTCACATGAAATTCTAAAACATGTAAAGCTGATCTATAACGAAAGAAAGCAGCCCAATGGCTGCCTGGGGCCTTGAGAGTAGGTAGGGTTGGGAGAAGAAAACAGGTAGTTGGGAGCCTGACTGCAAAGAGGCTTGAAAGTGCTTTTATGAATACTGAAAACTGTATACTCACCATAAGTACATTTAATTGTTTGTAAATTATCCCTAAACAAATTTAAAAAAAAACTGATTTGGTATTCATAAAACAGCGGCCTGAATTCTATCCTAGCTTAGCTTACTACCTGTTTTCCTTAGCAACTCACTTATACTTTCAGCATGTATTGCTTCATGTATAAACAGTGACAATACCAAGTGCGCTTGATGAAGTATGAGATTGCATGCTGAAGTAGATTAACTGAAAATAAGCAAATATTAATATTGTTAAATTGAAATGTCCTTTTACAACATAGTTTTTACAATGCTATTTTCTACTTCTGGTTTTTTATTTTGTTTGTTTGTTTTTGTTTCTGTTATTGTTTTTTTTTTTTTTTTTGTGAGACAAGGTCTCACTCTGTCTCTGTCACCCAGGCTGGACAGGCTGCAGTGCACTGGCACAACCTTAGCTTATCTCACTGCAGCCTCAAACTCCCCAGCTAAAGTTATTCTCCCACCTCAGCCTCCTAAGTAGCTGGGACTACAGGCATGTCCCACCATGCCCAGCTAATTTACTTTTTTCTTTTTGGTAGAGAGAAGGGTCCCACTATATTGTCCAGGCTGGTCTTGAACTCCTGGCCTCAAGTGATCCTCCCACATTGGCCTTCCAAAGTGCTGGGATTACAGGCATGAGCCACTATGCCATGCCTACTTCTGCTCTGTTCTTATGCTAAGTTGTTCCTTTTCTGAACAAAAAAGTTAAGATATAATGACTTTAAAATATTTATTATTGAAGCAAACATTTTAAATAAAGGCAGAAAAATATGAAGCAAGAAAGAAAATGGGTCCACAAACAAAAAACAGTATAACTAAACACTGATATTTTTGTTTTTCAAATTATAAAATTTAATATATGGCTTAGCTAGAAAACGTATACTTTTAATGGGATTTCTTCACCACTTACATTACTTAGTCCTCACATTCCAAAAAGATCACAAAAATTATATAGTGTTCAGTATCAAAATGGCACATGTACACAAATACTTTTATCACCAAAATAAAGAATACTATGATTTCCTTTTCAGGCATTCAAACAACACATCTGCAACCCATATTCCCACAGACCTGAAAGTCATTACTATTTTTGACAAAATCTTTGGCAGAATACACAATAAATGCTACAATTCTGATATTTCATCTGGAAATAGCCCTTTGAATTCAGAGTCCCTGAAACCACAGGGACACATGGCAATAATATAGGATTTTGGACTGCTGTTTTTAAAAAGAACTCTGGATGTTTATTTTGGCAAACTGGTTTTACCTCATTTTCATATATTTGAGAAACGTCAATTAAATAATGGTGGGAAGGCTGTCTGAAACTTAGAATGGATTTTCCACTAAAAAATAAATAAAACTTCTAAAATATAGTAAGATACAGAGTAGGATACTTACTTTATCCTTTAAAGTATACTTACTTTATGTTGTAACATTTCTTAAATTGAAATATGACTGAAACCCTTATTTGTAATGAAATGCTAAACAAACATCCTTGCAACAAAAACAGCAAAGCCTTCTGAATGATATTTCAATCTTCCCTGCATGTTAAATGCATAGATTGCTAGTTGACCATTGATATCCATCTTCCAGTTTTTACACAGTAATGAAAACTTCTGTGCACAAGACACAGCTGAAGATCACATTTCACAGATTCCCTTGCAGCTAGGTGAAGCCATGTGACTACATTCTGGCCAATGGGACGTGAGCAAAAGGAATGTATCAAATTTGGGAGTGACTGTCTTAAAGAAAAAGCACATATTATTTCCTGTCTCTTTAACTGGGTCCTGCTGCCTCAAAGGTGAACATAATAGTAAAACTAGACAAGTCATCTTGGACTATGAAATAAAAACTACCTGTTAAAAATTACAAAGTAGACTGTTGGGCACACTGACTCATGCCTGTAATCCAGTGCTTTGGGAGACTGAGGTAGGAGGTTCTTGTGAGCCTAAGTGTCAGAGGTTACAGTGAGCTATGATCACATCACTGTACTCCAGACTAGGCAAAAAAGTGTGACCCTGTCTCAATTAAAGAAAAAAAAAAAAGCCAAGGGAACATGATCAAAGAAGCCTGTGTCTCCAATATCATAAAGCCATTATATTAACCCAGGTTTGCCTATTTGGATTTTTATATCACTGAAAAATAAACCTCTATGCTATTTAAGTAGTAGGGGAAATGAGGGTAAAGAAATAGAAGTAGACTTTGCATTAATTCTACTAGAGACTTGTAGCAAATTCTAGAGTTTTAGATATTCACTATATACATATGTGTGTGTGTGTGTGTGTGTGTGTGTGTGTGTGGAGATGTATATACATACACATATATATATGTATTAAATCATGTTTAATTTTTCTTCAAACCTCATAGCTTCCTTCACTGGGGAACAACAAAAATACATGAACACAGGGAGGGGCACAATGCATACTGGGGCTGGTCAGGGGGTCCAGGCAAGGGGAGAGCACCAGGAAAAATAGTTAATGCATGCTGGGCTTACTACCTAAGTGATGGCTTCATAAGTGCAGCAAACCACCATGGCACACGTCTACCTATGTAACAAACCTACACATCCTGCACATGTATCCCAGAACTTAAAATAAAATTAAATTAATTTTTTTAAAAAGACATATCCTTATAGCCAAAATGTTTATATATACATACATATACATACATACACACACACACACACACACACACACACACACACACACACACATATATATGTAGCTCTACAATATGTTAGCTAAGCTGGAATTAATCTAAGAAATCACTTAAAAATTGCACAGATGAAAAAACAGAATCATGAGGAAATTAGGGTTAAATGACTAGCCCAAGGTTATTCTTATCAAAAATAATTGTTTTTCTTTGACTCATAAATGAATATTTTTCTAAAGAAACAGAGTGAGATATGAAAGCAAAAAAGGAAGATGAATACATTATTCATTAAGATGCATTGTTAGCATGACAAAGTCTGTATGGCAAAATCAGGATAAATTGTTAAAGGTAGAGGGAAAACAGTGGCCCAAAGCACACAAATGATCTCTTGTGTGAGTGACAGTCCTTGTGCTGAAGAGATGAGGAGTTCCAAATGCTGGCACTATAGTATGCTTTCAACCAGAACAATCTACTGTTAAATGAAGAGCACTAAGGCAGGAAGGGTCACATGGGTTCGCACTCTATGGAGAAAAGAAATTAGTGTGTAGCTGTTCGCCCAACATTTATTCAAATGAGAATGAAGTTAAAATAAAAGGATCTATGTTATCTATAAAGAAAAGCCAATTAAAGCCTAAGGGAAGTTTTGGGAGGATAAGCTCAAAAGCAATCTCATGAAAATTGCTGACCCACTGCTCCCAAAACATGAGTATAAATATTGACAAACAAGCTAAAAATTTTAAATATTTCACTACATTAGAAATTGGTAATTCTGGCTGGGCACAGTGACTCATGCCTATAATCCCAGCACTTTGGGAGGCCGAGGCAGGCAGATCACTTGAGGTCAGGAGTTCGAGACCAGCCTGGCCCATATGGCACAACCCCGTCTCTACTAAAAATACAAAAATCAGCTGGGCATGGTGACATGCACCTGTAATCCCAGCTACTCAGGAGACTGAGGCAGGAGAATCACTTGAACCTGGGAGGCAGAGGTTGCAGTGAGCTGAGATTGCACCATTGCACTCCAGCCTGGGTGACAGAGTGAGGCTCCATCTCAAAAAAAAAAAAAAAAAAAAAAAAAAAAAAAGAGAGAGAGAAACTGGTAATTCTTTCACTCAGACAAAACATAAGACAGGATTTTCAAAATATCAGGTATTTTTGAATACTAAAATAGTGGTTACTTCCTTTTAAGAAAAAAAGAAAGTTTGTTATAAATGTAAATTTCAAACAATTCTTATATAAGTTAGATATTCAAAATGTTCAAATTGCACAGTGAACACACAATTAGATACACAAAATTTCTTGAACTGATGGCAATAAATGCCTAAAACCCTGACTCCCAGAGGTATGCATCTGGGAGCAAGTCTTTGTCACGGAGGAGCAACCTTACATTAAGAAACAACAGAATTCACAACTTTTTTAGTTGAATTTATGTTCATTCTTTTCCTTTCTTCTAAGTTTAGGAGGTCATTTTTGGCAACAATCAGATGTTTGTATCATCAAGAAAAGGATTACAAACTCCTTCTCAATTTTTAGGTCATCCAAGCAAAATTAGCTTTAAAAAAGTATTCTGTCTGCCATGTTTCCCATTGTCTGCAGATTTTTTTTGCCAGCAGATGAATCTACAAGACATTGTCACTCTGAAATCAGTCTGCAGAAGCACATCCTGAATACTGGAAGACTCCCATGACACCTTGGCCAAATGAACTTGTGATCTCTCAGCTGCATCCATCCACTGAAAGTTTTACCTCATCTAAATATCCAAAATATCTCTCAAGCCAAGCCATGAATAAACTCCTCCTTGTCAAGCCGTTCTGAGAATATTCTTTTCTTTCTCATAAACAAATAAATAAATGAATAAATAAGGAGACAGATATTTAGACTGCAATGTAGTGCTTTAAGACATTCTCTGGGGAACCAGCACACTTTTTGCATTGCTGGTAATCTTTCAGGCTGCTTCCATTACTTGTGAACATTTGTTGAAAAGGTAGTACCTGTAGTTCAAGATGCTGGCTCTGATAAAGTTGTTTACTTTCAGGGTGGTAAGCAAAAATCTTTCAGGATTATTATGAGTCTTTGATGTTGATATATGCCAAACCAACTGTAGAAGACATGAATCAAGAGGACTTAAAGCTCTTTCTTCATAGAAAGGGTAAAACCTGATGTACTGCCAGTCATGGCAAGTACTCCATCCAGGCTGATATGGTTTGGCTGTGTCCCCACCCAAATCTCATCTTGTTTTTTTGTTTGTTTGTTTGTTTGTTTTTTGAGACAGAGTTTCACACTTGTTGCCCAGGCTGAAGTGCAATGGTGTGATCTTGGCTTACCGCAACCTCTGCCTTCCGGGTTCAAGCCATTCTCCTGCCTCAGCCTCCCAAGTAGCTGGAATTACAGGTATGCGCCACCATGCACAGCTAATTTTGTATTCTTAGTAGAGACGGGGTTTCTCCATGTTGGTCAGCCTGGTCTGGAACTCCCAACCTCAGGTGATCCGCCCATCTCAGCCTCCCAAAGTGCTGGGAGGCACCCGGCCTAAATCTCATCTTGAATTGTAGATCCCATAATTCCCACATGTTGTAAGACAAACATGGTGGGAGGTAATCGAATCATGGGGGTGGGTCTTTCCTGTGCTGTTCTCATGAAAGTGAATAAGTCTCATGAGATCTAAAGGTTTTATAAAGGGGAGCTCCCCTGCACATGCTCTCTTGCCTGCCACCATGTAAGACGTAACTTTGTTCCTCCTTCTCTTTCTGCCATGATTATGAGGCCTCCCCAGCCATGTGGAACTGTGAATCATTTAAACCTCTTTCCTTTATAAACTACCCAGCCTCGGGTATGTCTTTATTAGCAGTGTAAGAACAGACTAATACAGTAAATTGGTACCGGTAGACTGGAGTGCTGCTATAAAGGTACCCGAAAATGTGAAAGAAACTTCGGAACTGGGTAACAGGCAGAGACTGGAACAGTTTGGAGGGCTCAAAAGAAGACAGGAAAATGTGGGAAAGTTTGGAACTTCCTAGAGACTTGAGGGCTCAGAAGACAGGAAGATGTGAAAAAGTTTGGAATTTCCTAGAGAATTGTTGAATGGCTTGGAACAAAATGCTAATACAGACAACGAAGTCCAGGCTTAGGTGGTCTCAGATGGACATGAGGAACTTGTTGGGAACTAAAGGTCACTCTTGCTATGCAAAGAGACTGGGGGCATTTTGCCCCTTCCCCAGAGATCTGTGGAACTTTCAACTTGAGAGAAATGACTTAGGGTATCTAGCAGAAGAAATTTCTAAGCAGCAAAGCATTCAACAGGAAGCAGACCATAAAAGTTTGGAAAATTTGCAGCCTGACGATGCAATAAAAAAGAAAAGCCCATATTTGGGGGAAAAATTCAAGCCTGCTGCATAAATTTGCATAAGTAATAAGGAGCCAAATGTTAATCACCAAGACAATGGGGGAAATGTCTCCGAGGCATGTCAGAGATGTTCACAGGAGCCCCTCCCATTATAGGCTCCAGAGGCCTAGGCGGTAAAAACAGTTTCCTGGGCCAGGTCCAGGCCCCCATTGCAGCGTGCAGCCTAGGGACTTGGTTCCCTGCATCCCAGTCACTCCAGCAGTCGCTAAAACAGGCAAAGGTACAGATCGGGCCTTGCTTCAGAGGGTACAAGTCCCAAGTCTTGGCAGCTTCCATATGGTGTTGAGCCTGCGAGTGCACAGAAGCCAAGAATTGAGGTTTGGGAACCTCTGCCTAGATTTCAGATGATGTATAGAAATGTCTGCGCTGGGTGCGGTGGCTCACGCCTGTAATCCCAGCACTTTGGGGGGCTGAGGCGGGCGGATCACGAGGTCAGGAGATTGAGACCATCTTGGCTAACATGGTGAAACCCCGTCTCTACTAAAAATACAAAAAATTAGCTGGGCATGGTGGCGGACGCCTATAGTCCCAGCTACCTGGGAGGCTGAGGCAGGAGAATGGCATGAACCCAGGAGGCGGAGCTTGCAGTGAGTGGAGATGGAGATCACGCCATTGCACTCCAACCTGGGTGACACAGCGAGACTCCGTCTCAAAAAAAAAAAAAAAGAAAGAAATGTTTGGATGTCCAGGCAGAAGTTTGCTGCAGGGGCAGGGCCCTCATGAAGAACCTCTGCTAGGGCAGTATAGAAGGGAAATGTGGGGTTGGAGCCCCTATACAGAGTCCCCACTGGGGCACTGCCTAGTGAAGCTATAAGATTAGGGCCACTTTCCTGCAGACCCCAGAATGGTAGATCCACCGACAGCTTGCACTGTGCCCCTGGGAAAGCCACAGACACTCAATGCCAGCCCATGAAAGCAGCCAGGAAGGGAGCTGTACCCTGCAAAGCCACAGGGGTGGAGCTGCTCAAGGTTGTGGGAGTCCGCCTCTTGCATTAGCATCACCTGGATGTGAGATATGGAGTCAAAGGAGATCATTTTGGAACTTTAAGGTTTCATGACTGCCCTATTGGATTTCGAACTTGCATGGCGCCTGTAGCCTCTTTGTTTTGGCCAATTTCTCCCATTTGAAATGGGTATGTTTACCCAATGCCTGTACCCTCATTGTATCTGGGAAGTAACTAACTTGTTTATGATTTTACAAGCTCATAGGTAGAAGGAACTTGCCTTGTCTCAGATGAGACTTTGGACTGTGGACTTGTGAGTTAATGCTGAAATGAGTTAAGACTCTGGGGGACTCTTGGGAAGGAATGATTGGTTTTGAAATGTGAGGACATGAGATTTGGGAGGGGCTGGGCGGAATGATATGGTTTGGCTGTGTCTCCACCCAAATCTCATCTTCAATTGTAGTTCTCATAATTCCCAAGTGTTATGAGAGGGACCCAGCGGGAGGTAACTGAATCCTGAATGAGGGGTCTTTCCTGTGTTGTTCTCATGATAGTGAATAAGTCTCATGAGATCTAATGATTTTATAAAGGGGAGTTCCCCTGCACATGTTCTTTTGCCTGCCACCATGTAAGATGTGACTTTGCTCCTCTTTTGCTTTCCACCATGATTGTGAGGCCTCCCCAGCCATATGGAACTGTGAGTCAATTAAATCTTTTTCCTTTATAAATTACCCAGCCTTGGGTATGTCTTTATTAGCAGTGTGAGAACAGATTAATATACATGCCAACTGTACCAAGCCCCGTCTTTTAGCATGTCAAAAATTTCAAAAGCCTTTCAGCCTTCTAAAATGTACCTCACTAATTTGGAATTTATTATGTATCAATATGTGTGAAACAGATAAAAACTAGAAAATCGCTGCACAAAATAATGCTAGTTGTTACATGCAAATGTTTAGTGAATGGGAAATGGCATTAATCCCAATTTGGCAATGATCTGCTTCAAAACATTAGAAGAGTCTGCACTTCTGTAACATATAATATCATCCGATTGAGCTTGGGCCACAGGAAAGAACACTTACAATAAATAACAAAATTGTAGTAGCTAGTTCCAACCTTCTTACTGAACCTATTTTAAATTACCATTTTAAGAAATTCAGCATATTGAAACTTATATAAATTGGCAGCTAATTAGAAAAAGTATGTTTATTTTAAATATAAATTACTAAGGGTAGTTTCTCTGCATTATTCCCTACACGATAATATAAATTTATAATGACTCCATTTGTTTCTACAAATGTTTATCTAATTAATGAAATCTCTTTAATTATTCCAAATTTAAAAGGTTGATTTAAAAGAATTTCCTAAACTCAGTTGAGCACTAAAACAAATTCTCAATACATTTCTGTTAACTTAATGTAGCAAACATTTCCTTCCCTCTCCTTCAGAAATGATAGATCTCATATATGACTGAAAACCACTGGTTAAAAAAACAAATTCAGTATCTATTAAACTTAGGTAAAATATACAAATAATTAGTGCCAGACTTTAATAAATAAACCACCTGCCTTGATCTGAATTGGTGCAGGAACTGAGCAGAATAAGTAGCAGATACTCTTGTTTGCAAAGCTTAGGCTTCAAGTTATTTCTATTTTAATATTTTTAAATCTGACAATATAAAGTATCCTTAATACTTACTATGCATTTTTCAATTTCAAATATACTCTAGTAAAGTAGAAAATAAGTCATAATTATTCTATATTCAAAGATATATTTTGATTGATTTTATTTCTTAAAATCAATATTTCACAAAACTTTTTTCAATAAGACCTGTCACGATGGCCTAAAACTTCTGATCTCACCTTTTTCAAGATTATTCTTTTGTATAATTAACTCTGTAATACTTTAAAATTTTTCAAGCATTAAAAACTAAACACATTTTCCAATATTTATTTTTCATGATTCATTAATATATTTAATGACTTTAGCTTTGAAGTATTCTTCTAATTTGGAAACCAAGTACTTTTCAAGCTTTTGCTTCTGAGGTGTTCTGGGAATAATATAGTAGTCACTTAAATTTAAATATAATTCCTCAATAAATGCTCTGACATTTTACTATGTAACATTTTGGAAAGTTTTACTTACTGAGACATCTTTCAGGTTTTTCTCAAAGAAGAAATAACAAGACTCTTTAGAAAAATTAAACGTGTATACATCAGCTGGTCCTGCTCCTGACAACAATGCTTTTCTCAGTTCACCAACATATTTCCCTTTTTCCATTGCCATGTCATCAGCTTCTTGGGAAATCTCTGATTCAGAAACTATGGGAAATATTAACAAAAGTTTTAAAATGAAAAGTAAATGACTACACATGAGAAAATATTAGTTTATCTGTTAGTACTAATTTATCACATGTAACAGAAATTCAAACAAGTAAAATCAATCCCTATACTACACATTTTTAAATCAAATTATTCCTTTTTACTGAACTAGCAATTTTTGAGAAATGCATTAATTTAGACTCACATCTCGTAAAATACATTAAACCCTTGACATTCTTTCTCTGTCTTCAGATGAAACGCATTGTAAATTATTACAGAAACTCCCACTTTGTGTAACTGCTCTTAGGTCAAAGCCAGATAATTTCCTACAATGAATAATAAGTTCAGTATTTTATAACATCTTTCTTCCTTGCATCAAAGATTCAATAGCCTATACTGTGTTTCTCACTCATATGGGCAGAGTAAAACAAAAGCAAAAGTGGAGCTCACTATTCTCATATCATGTGCCAACAACAGAAAATATGGATGAAAGGAGATGATAAGGAAATAATAGGAAGGAAACTAAAATGTACGAGCATCTCCTCTGCAACACATACTATACTAGAGACCGCTTCCAATTCTCTTATCTAGGTATTTTTAAAGCTGATGTTTTACTATCATTGAGATTTTTGTTTCAATAATTATATTTTCAATTCTAGATATTATCTTTGTTCCTTTGTCATTATATCCTGTTCTTATCCTACCCTTCTTTTAAATATTTAAATAAACGTATTTTAAGATCTCTTTCATTTCTGTATTTATGTGTGGCTCCTGGGGTATAAATTATGTTTCTTCTATCTGTGGAAAAATTCTTGTTTTACTTGTTTTCCTTTCATGCTTTGTAACATTTGAGTACAGCTCACCTCTAGCCAAAGTGGCAAGTGCTCTGGGAAGAAGTGGTCTTAAATGAAGGTTGCCTTTCTGGGGGTCATTACAAGTTTTATCAGTTTGGGACTAGTTTTGAAAGTTAATTTCTCACCTCGATTTTTACATTTGAGGCAAAGTGTTCCATTTTAAACCTCCCATCCACACATAACACAGGTTTAGGGTTCTGATTTTTCTTGAGACTTTTATTCACTCATAGTCCTTAGGGATTGTTCTGTTTTTATGCTGCATCCTCTGGACAGAGAGTAGTAGTTTTTTTAAAAGATTATTTTATTAACAGCATATATTTTCCAGGTTCCTTTCTTTATGCTGAGAGCTCAACTCCAATTCCCTAAGAGGTCTGAAGCCTCAACATTCTACCTCACTCAAACATTATACTCACTGTCATCTAGAAGTATATCTAGTTCAGATATTCCATGAATCTACAAGTAAGCTTTAATTCTCATCAATTACTTTGGTTTTGAAATACCTCTTCAAACATGGTGTCTGAGGTTTTCCCTTTCTTACACTCAAAAGTGGCAATGGGTCTGCATACTTGTTTGTTTTTAAAATTACAAGATTCAATCTCGTTATTTGTTGGAATGTGTGTGTGGTTGGATGGTTTCCTGTGTTAATTTAGGCTATCACAGTAATGATAAAAGTCTCATATGGTTGTATAATTTCATACTTATGCATTACACTTATCTATTTTAATTCCTTATAAAACTGAAAAACAGATATTATTTTCATTTTGCAAAAGAGAAAACTGAGGCTCACAGAGATCAAGTAATGGTCTAGGGTGATGAAGTAAGTAACTAGTGAAGCTGGGATTAATACTCATATCTCTCTGCATGTTTTATTTTGAGGTGAAGCAGAGACATGAAACATTGGATAAATTATTTCCATCCATAATTTTGAAAAACAACATTAGTATAAAATATTACAGAATATAAGGAAATCATGATTAAAGAATCCCTAAAATGGAACACACATTTTCATACCTTTGGTCTCTATGCTATCAAGTGTCTGGAAGACCCATGACAGTTAATGAAAAAGGGAGTCTTGCAAGGTACCAATATTTTTATATGATCAATTTTTGATAACAAGTTTTGATAATAAAATATGATTCTCATACGTCACACAACCTTTGGAAGGAGGTAAGAATAAAAATAGCTTATATTCATATATTAACAGCTTCTAAAACACTTTCACATTTTCTCTATTGGAAGTGGACACATTTAATATGATCATCACTATCAAACCTATTGATCTTTCAAATGCCCTAGTAGCTCTTCTAAAAAAAAAAAAAGAAGAAGATAAATGCTTCCTATTTAAGGAATAATTTCATATTTTGTGTTTGCATTATGTTAAAAAGTAACTATCTAACTTTAACTCACCAATACCTAGGAAGAACAGTTATTTCACAGAGAAATAGGAAATAAATTTGTAGATGCCATCTTTAATGCGGCCATAGAAAAACTTGAAGAAAACACAAAAGAAAACAGAGAACATCTATTTAAAAAGCATCTAGTTAAAAGTATTCTAAATTTCATTAAAATGAAAAGATACCTGTCTGAAAATATGTAATCATTCATTCATTCCAAAAATGCTAGCCTGTGGAGCTCAAATTCAAGTGCTAATATCTTAGACAACATTTTAGATATCTGTCAGTTATCATCCTAGATATCCTCTTATTTTCCTCTCCTAATAAATACTGTGCTGATTATTACGGAATATTTAATTTTTGAAGGAGAAAAAAACGTATGAAAGGAAATTAATTATGTAAAACAGCTATTTGTTCAAAAATGTACTTGAAAAATTCCTATAAAAGTAAACATGGAAATCTGACTGCCTACATAGGGCTTCAATCCTAAAAAACCAACCTGGTCACCAGTTTTGAATTCTGTGCCAAGAACATCTGGAAAAAGTATAGCTGTAAGCACGCGATGCTCTAAAACTTCAGTGACCAAGAATAAAGGCAATGGAAATAATAAAATTCAGCAAGAATGCAACTGAACCACATAATAAGGCATAAAACATGAGCAGCCCAACATGACCAAAAAACAAGGAACTGGTAGAAGTCAGACTGAGACTCACTTTAACACTGAAAAGCATCACTTTTGCAGTGTTTATAGGTAGATGAAGATGTAAGTGAGGAAAGAAGATTTTTTTCCTTCAGATACCTATATATAACTAGCCAAAAGCCTGCACACATCCTAAGCTTGTACTGGAGCTCAGAAGACATACAGTCTTATCATACCATTAGGATTCTAGTTGGTATTGCATCATAAACCCATTTCACTGCTTGATTTATTAAAATCCTCTTTCCACTGAGTTCTGTCACTATTTCCATATAAGTCAAAAAATATTTACACTCAAGATAATTATAAGTGGATCTAATTAGTGGATAATAGAACAATTAGTAAAGTTTAATTTACTCTTTAATAAACTTCAAACTACTCCAGAGATGGGTGATATAAGTTTCCTACTGCCAATAGGAATTCTTATGAAAGTCAGAGTCATCGATCATTAACCCACTTTGTGACTTACCCCTGTGATATAACCGCCTGTAATACTGATGTGATGATAGACCACATGATAATTAGATAATTGGACCTCAAAAACATTCATTAGATAAAACATTGCTAATGGAAATCAGTGAGTTTAGTGTAGGGGAGATTAAAAGAAAACTTACATCCTTTTAATTTCACTCAAATAAAAAGAGAAAAAAAATTGTCCAAATTGAAGGTTGCAGTAATCAAAATGTTGAACAAAAAAAAACAGGATGAGGTATCGGAAGGAAATCCGTTTCCATGTTTCAATTATTTAATTGTTTCAATGTCCTTAGTGATGTTATTGTCTACATGTAAAGTACCAGATCACATTTATGGAATAAGCCTTAACTAAACATGGGCACAGTGTTATATTATTTGATTTCCTATTTTGTCCCTGATATGTAAACAAGAAAACAGAAATGAATGAAGGCATAAAACACATGAGAGATTTAAACACTATTAGATATTTTTGAAAATAAAATGACCACATAGTGCACTATAAAATTTTCTGTTTTAAAGCTTGTTTGGTACAGGAAACCAAAATGGTAACAATCCACCTGAGAATACATAAGTTTGATATCACATTTTTGTCACATTAAATTCCACTAGCTAAAAAATAAATGGTAGAATATACTGCAGTTATGACAAATGTCAACAATAAGTAAATATAAAACTGGAGTTTTCATTCAAAAACATGCTAACTCTAAAATGAACAATTTATTTTCTTTTTTCGCAGACCAGTTTTATATATTTGAGACATCCTTTCATTCTTTCAATCAAAAAAGTATTCATTGAGAATGTATTTCGTAGGTACCGGTCTAGATAATTGCAAAGAGTGTTGACAAACCAAATGTGTCTCTTACCCTCAGTATAAATCAGTACCATCTAGTGAAATGATAATTCATGTTAATATTATTAAGAATGATGCCAGCACAATTGTATGATATAAACGAAATGTTCCATAAATGTAAGGTTCTTACATTTCTGGTTAAATTAAGAGATAAGAGTTAATGGAGTGTTCTTTTTTCCCCCAATACTTAATGATTAAAAAATTTCAAATAACATATTATCACTGATTTTTATCTTGGTGAATGAGGCTTATGGACTAGATTAGAATTCAGCCTCTTCCTTTGATAATTAAGGCTCCTGAAACACCTTAAGGTCATCTGTCTGACAACAACTAAGTATACAGAATACGCCATTTGCCAATTAGAAATACCTAAAGTTATAAATACAGTATTCCTTACATACAAGCAACCACTTCCCCTAGGACTTGCTTCCAAGCTGTGTTGTTAGAACTGCTCTTCTTACCCAGATGACCAGCATTAATCTATTGCCCTTGTCTTTAGCCTTATACACTCTTCACCCTAAAACAAGAAATATTGTCTTCTGGATATAATCTCTCTGGCATACATAAAACCAAGCTGACAAATCTTCTACTCTTGAACTGCAACAACCAATCTGATTTCTGCTTTCTCTTACAGATAAATGTGTAGCTTAAATAGATATCATAATAAGTACTGCAAATATTACCCCTGAAAATTCTTTATTTTACAGGAATCCCTACATCAACATTACCTGTTCTGTGTCAAAAAAGACAATTTTTTTGAAACTCTGTAAGTATAAATTCAATTTGACTGTGTTGTATAACATAATTCATAACGCTCAAGAAAGAAACAAAATTTTACAATGTATTGTAATTTTAAAGACGATATAATAATCATGGTAACAAATTCTAGAGAAATATTTCTAAAGTTAATAGAAGATATAAATAGTATGTAAATTAACATGTAAAAATTATCTTACAGAAAACATTATTCACAACATAACTCTAGAAAAGACTTTTGCATAATTATAAAAATAGTTCTTTAAATCTTTCAATAAGATACTTTAGAAGAGTATTAAAACTTCGTATATAAGGAAAATATAAGGCTACATATTTTTACTTTATATCCACCATGTTCCATACATGATTTGAGGGTCATTAGCATTTTTAAAATATTATTACCAAAGAGTTAAAAAAATCTATTTCCTAAAATCACAGCCAAGATCCTAAATGTGGGTGTGAACCTTGCATTACAAATTTTTAGACTCTGGTCCTGTTTTGTTACAAATGTAATATATGTTCACTGGGGAAAATAAATAAATAAATAACCCACCACTACCCCATTGCCCCAAGGCAACACACATACCCATTTACCTAACCAATCTCCTTCCTCTGCCCCAGACTTCTTCCCTGGGGTCCTGAGAAAAGATGTATTTAGAAAGTACTATTTATATTTTCTATAAAGAGGTCATTTTAAACCTCTGAACAAATCCAAGTTACTAAGATTCAAATGGTAACCGGAATTTTCTAGGACACGTTTGTTTTTCTATTACTATTAAATATAGAAAGTGGCATTAAATATTACAAACCTGTGTATAAATTTGACAGCAATAGCAAGTAAAATTAATATCAGTTTTACCCAATATCTAATGGAAAAGTATCCCTGAGGACTGAAGAATAGCACACTTAAATTTTACTTATAAAAACTTTGTTTTTAGTATTACCTGTCCCAGTCCATGCTGAATGACCATCAGTAAGTGTAATAACAAAACCAGATTCCAGTGTTTTCTCCCAAGATACTTGTAGAAAATGAGTTATACTGGGTTCAGAAACAAGGTGGATTCTGCTTATTTTTCTCTCCATTTCTTAATACCTGTAATGGGAGAATACAATTAATATTTTTAAAAGAAACTGTAACTCAAATAATGTTTTCTGTACTGGCCTCTCAGCTACACAAACACCAAGGAAATAAGAAAATAAGCAAAACAAAAAAACTGTATAATAGGTTCAACCATTAGATTCAACCATTAAATTCAGTAAATAATACATTCAGTAAATTCACAGTTTTCTTCAATATTAATTCACAATTTTTACAGATGAGAAAAGCAGAGGCCCATAAATGGAAAATGATTTGTCCAAGTAATGAAGATAAAAATTATCATCTCAGCTGGGCGCGGTGTCTCACACCGGTAATCCCAGCACTTTGGGAGGCCAAGACGGGCAGATTGCCTGAGGTCAGGAGTTCAAGACCAGTCTGGCCAACATGGTGAAACCCCGTCTCTACTAAAAAAAAACAAAAAATTATCATCTCAACAATATGCTGAGTAAATTTTACCACTTCTTTTCCCCCAGATTCAATAGGCTTTTTTTCTACCACAAAAGAAATGGTTGCAAGAACTTGTGAGAATGACCTGGAACTGATCTCACTACTGAAATATTACAGTAATTAGAAAGGATAAAATTGACCAAGTATCTTAGTCTCTGTCTGGAGACACTGTCTGGAATGAAAAAGTTGAGTAAGTATAATTCAATGGGGGAAAAAAAATCTCACAACCCAACAGCTGATAGTATCCAGTCATGCCTTGTCTAAGGCAGAGATGACCAGGCTCAGTGACTGAAACACCCTATCCACTGAGACAGGGGCACTCTGTAATAGAGATAAGTTGCATCAGATTATCACAGCCTGAGGCCAATAAATGTTTCTGCATTCTTTAAGTTTTGTATTTAAGTATTATATATAGACAGAAAAGTACATACATCAAAAGTACAAAAGTACAACTCAATGAATTTTACAGTTGAACAAATCCATGTAAGTAGTACCTAGATCAAGAAGCAGAACATTGCTACCCAAAATTCATTCTCACACTCCCTCCAATCTAGCCACTGGCCTCTCCAAATAACCACTATCTTATCTTCTAACAGAGATGAGGGCTTTGAATATTTCTCTACTTTATGTAAATATAATCATACAGCATGTTCTATTTTGTGTCTGGCTTCTTTTGCTCAACATTATGTTTGAAAGATTCATCCACACTATGTGTTAAAGTGATAGATGATTTTCAGGGCAGTATAGTAGTCTATTATATGAGTATAAGACAGGTTATTTATCCATTCCACTAGTGGTAGGCATCTGGGTACTTTCTAGATTTTGACTATTACAAATACTGCTGGCAGAAACACTCTAGCAAATACATATGCATTTCTGTTGAGTATATACCTAAGAGTAAAATTGTTGGATCAGAGGATATGGATATATTCAATTTTGGTGCTACACAGCAAATATTTTTCTAAAAGCGTTGTACCAGTTTACAATTGATAGTATGAGAATTCTGATTACTGCACATTCTTGCAAACATTTTCCATGGTTTTCATGTTAGCCAATTTTTTACTTCATACAATAAAGAAGAAAATAAAATTAGGGGTACACAATGTAATACTGAAAGTTAGAGTTAGAAGGGAGTCAGATCTAAGATCACCATCATCCATTTGTTAAGTACTTTGCAACTGCACAAGAACTTCATTACTTGAACAAACAGACAACCACATAATATAAAAATTCTAAAAACCTAATCTTGCCCTTCCCAAAACAATGATTATCTGAACATTTCCCTCTGTCTTTATCCACAGACACGCATGTTTAAATAAACCTTATAAACAGCTTTTTTCATGGTGGCACAGAGTTTTACACCTAGCATTCTTAGTGACTAAATAATAATCCATTAAGTACTATAATTAATGGAAATATGTTGACATATATATATATATATATATATCAGCTCTATCTTTACTGGAACCCTATGAATATAGCAACTAACAGGATCCTCATTGTATGAATAAAAAACAGAGGTAAAGTTTAATACCCAAGATCACACACTAAGTGGTGGTGCAAGGACTCAAATCCACCACCTGCTCTTCTTACCACAGCACTTTGCTTGTCAGTAGGAATGTGAAAGTCTAGTAGATCTGATGTTAAGAAAAACCAGACTTCTAAAGTTACCAGATAAAGAAACAGGGTTGGACCATGAAAGAGGTATGCTTAGGGAGCTTCTGCCATGTGACAGCATTGCCAGATAAGGAGCTGTTGTTTTAAGACTACTCTAAAACAAAACTAAGACTTTTATTTCCAGTCTCCCATCAAATGGTAGTTAACCAAGCTTATATTCTGCAATCATATGAGATGTGTGGGAAACAAAACAGCCAGTTCTGATTCTGGAACAAGTTACAAGAAAAAAGTTTCCAACTCTGATCTCCTATGCCCTATTGCTGACTTCTGGATATGTCTGCTGAGGATTTGAAAAGTCTATGCCTGTCCCAAAGAAGGCTTTCCACAAATACTTGTCCTTGGATTTATTTAAAATTATTTCAGATCTGTCACCCTTGAATTCTACCCATTTTTCCTAGTAATACCAGTAGGGTCCATACAGATTAAGTATAAATCCTCTTACACACGACAGGCCTCTTCTTAAGACTATATGCTTGCAGTCAAAACAGTTCTTATAAGATGATTTCTGATACCCTCACTAGTTTGATTAATCTCCACAAAATTCTCTACAGTTAATCTCTGCCACTCAAAGCATAGTTCACTGAGTCCCAACTGGTAGTCTAGTTGTATTATAAACAATTAAAAAATAGACAAAGACTATTACTTCATCCTAAATACTGCACTTCTATAATTTCAAGGAAATATCACATTCAGTTTTAATTATTGTTTTTAGTGATAGTGAGAGTGATAGGGGTTGTGTTGAGGGTATTTTGTTATGTTTTTGGCAGCTACATCATTCTAAAAATTCCTATTTGAGTTTAATATCAACTAAACCTTGTTTAGTTGTTTTTCTATGTATGTTATTACTAAGTCACTTTTACTCTATCCTTTGTTTGTAATTTTTGTTGATGTTGTCTGATGTGTTTGCTGAGGTTCAATTTTATGTTTTATATTGGCTTGTTAAGGTTACGTTGAATAGTGATTCTGTTCCTGTGACCCAACATGTTTATTATCTCTCTGACCTTGTCATCTAGAAATCTGATAAACTTCTTCTTCTAAGTATTCAAGTCATGCACATAAAATGTTGAGCAGGACAAGCTCAGGCATAGACCTGTATAGTCTGCCATTAGAAACACCCTCAAGTAGACATCAATCATCAACACTATGTGGGAACACCACTTATATTTCCAAGTCACAAGAATGTAAGAAGAATCCTTGGCAAAATCTATCCACTCTACCAGCCTATCAACACTATTTAAAAGAACAACAACAAAAAAAAAAGAAATTAAAACTGTTAATTAGTGATCCTACTCTTATTTGTAACAATGATAGGTTCTTTTTCTTTTAATCCAAAAGCAATTCTTCTGGTAAATCACTCTAGAATCTTGCCCAGATTGACTTCAAATTTATCAGACTGTAAAATGACACATATTACTTAGTTCAAGCAAATACCTATATTTGTTCTAATACTGTAACGCCTGATACTGTAAAATTGATTTTGTGAGCTTCATTAAAAGATGCTTATACCGTAGAAGCTAATAAACAAAACTAGAGAAATAACATAAAAATTATAAATATGCAAAGAGAAAACATTATAAAAAGTCAGAATCAGGAACAAAGCACAAACTTCCAACATGAAAACATTACAACTATTATTTAATCACATAGCATGAATCTCTCATTAGATGATCCTTTAAAAAAACATTATAAAGTAATCCTTATAGCCCCATCAATTAGGCATGTAAAATTTTTAAATATATTTAAGTTTGTAGGTTTGATACGATAATCACAGAAAAAATAATTTTTAAATATTCCATTTAGTCAAAATTTTCTCCTACAATAAGGTCCTTTGCCTAGATGTGCTTAATTCTGAAATGCTTTATCCATTTGTGAATATTTTCTTTTAGATCAATTAGTCAATACATTTAATGTGCAGTAAATTACTCACATGCTCTGTAATCCTTAAATTTGAAAATTACTGGAAAATCTGTTACTGTTTTTCTATGCCAATCATTGAAAAAGACATATAGTTCAAGGCTTACATAATTCTAATTGGCTCAAAACCCACAATTTTGGGGGTGGGGTGCATGGGAGGGTGTAGGAACTACTTGTGGCATAGCATTTTTTGCCTCTATAGTATTTCCATACAAACATACACAGATGCACACATACTTATACAGATTATTTTGTCTTAAACTTACCTTAAGAACCATGGCTATTGTTACCATTAATATAATTTTGTGAAAGGAAAATACAGCACTTATAATTACTGTGAAATAGCAATTGGTTTCATTGCTTTTTTTTAAAGCCATATTTGAACCAAGTGACAAATTTCTAATTACAGAGAAAATTTTGTTTAAAATTCAATATTCCAGATGCCTTTCAGTAACTCCTTCTACTTTCACAATAATATAAAGGGCTTTAATCTCAATGATGTTAAAAAGACATCTGGGGATCAGTTTTAAGAACATCTTTGAATTATTCATGTTTCAAATATTTTCCAATTTTCTAATTCTAGGTACTCATGACAAAAATTATATGATTTTATTTTAAAGATTCTATTATTTAGTAAACTCACATTTGAACCTTTGGAGACTACCTGTGAACCACATTTAAGCAATTAACATTAATAGCCCATAAGTGACAACATAGTATCCTACAAGTAACTTGTTTGTGCCTCAGCAGTCTCAGAAATGTTCTTTATATCAAATAAGTCTTAATTTCCTAATACCATACTATTTGAATGAGGTTTGAAAGCACTTCATTCTTTTACTTACTGAGATCACCGTCTTACAAAATATCAAATACAAAACATCTAGTAAGAATCACCCATGGAAACAGAAAAAAAGATGACTTGGAATGTCTTTTAAGATTCAGTAAGAGCAAATGAACGATCTCTTTGCTTTCACCAGCCCTGTAAATGGGAATAGTCAGCCATAGTTTTTTGCCCCAAGACTACTTGAAGAAACGGGGTGGAATCCTCTTCAGAGGGACTGATTGATTAGGGCTATAAGAAAGCCTGTGTTTTGTTTTCCAAGGGCACTAAAGGTCACATTAGTATCAGCACCTCTCCCAGCCAGAGCCAAGGATCTAAGACAAGCCTGCAGGTGGAAACAGTTGGGTCCCACCCCAATTTGTACATCAGTAGCTTTATTGAGAGTTCAGAACAATTGAGAATTGAGAAGCTTATCTTTAGTACTTTGTGTCTTTGATACTTGGCCTCTCTCTTAGAAGAGAAATAAGTTGTTGGCTGGTATGCAATTGATGTGATCTAAGGTCTGAACAAATACCATTCACAGTTGCTTCTGAATAAACAAGACACTTTTTAAATTAGTTTACAAAGAATTTTGTATGCCCTTTTGGATGCTGATAAGGAGCAGTGCAGAAGCCAACTCTCTCTTTTAGGTCAGCTCAAGTTAGTTACAACACTATATCATTGATAACACCATTTTGAACTTGAGCTTCTTTTATTTTCCTTTATAGTAAATTATGACTTCTTTTTAAGCTGCTTGGGCTGCAGGTGTTCAAACTTCTGCAGCTCTGCCAAAGAGTTGTACTTACAGATCAGAAAGTGCTAAATGCATGTTTCTAATGAAGCAATTAACTTAAGTGCCCCCTTGTTGAGAAAAGTAGGCTGATACCTAAAGTGAGTTCAGAATAAAGATTAGCACACAGCATATGCTGTTAATAGTCTGTAATTAGTTTCCTGGTTACATTATTTTGTTTGACCTTATTATTTTTATTCTTAAAAGAGAAAATTTAAATTGCAAACCAAAAGTGTGGTCACAGATTGTTTTAAAGTCTTATCACATTATAAAAATTCAAAGACAGGAACATATATAATTGCTAGAAAAAAGGAAAGAAAGGTTTATGAAACTACACTAGGCTATTCACTTCTGAGACAATCACACAACAATTTAGGAAAACTAAGTGCAAAGAAAAGGATTATTTCTTGTTTAGTATTTTTTAAAAGCACTGACTATTTGCATTTTCCTTTTTTATCAGAATACCCACTCCCCACATTAAAGATTTTTTTTACTGAATAATTTATTGCTAGTATTTTCATTATTAATAGCCTGCCAACTTGCTGGTTAGTGTTACCAAAGGGTAAATTAAGATTTTTTTTTTTGAAAAAACTACCACAAAGTCAGTTTGCCTTTAAATTTCCAAAGCAATTAAAACAAAAATACCCAGCAACACTTCTACATAAAAAGTGCTTTCCTAAAATAATATTTTTGAGTTAGATTTTTTTCTAAACATTAAGTGTAAAGAATTCACAGGATTACTAAATACCCTTCTAATCATGTGAGAATTAACTCCATTTTAATAATTTTGAAAGTAAGGTAACCACCTGTCCAGGTATTCCTGGAATTTTCCTAATTTTCAAACAAAGTCCCAAGACCTAGAAAATCTCTCAATTCCAGGCAAACCACAATGTTTAGTCACCATAAGGTAGTAAAATACAGTTATAACTGCTAACATAATCTTATTCAAAAACTTGTAATATACAGCTGATGTATAAGGGAGACATTAAATTAATCTGATGCTTTAGGAACAGAGCATTAGTACTATAAAATAAGTCTAGAAAAATAAGGCCTCTTGGTTGAGGTCACAGTCCATTCTTAATTACCTCTCATGACTGTGGAATGCCAGTTGCTGCCATTCCAAATATCATATTACTTCTCATTTCCTCTGCTTATCTTTTACAAATACCATTAATAATCATTAGTTTCAGTGATAAACATAAATTTCACTTCCTCTCCTTTCCTACTCTAACACTATAAGTGGGTATTAAAAAGCAATAAAATGACCTAATGCATGAACAAATTTCCCACATACTATTTAATACCTAGCTCCAAAGTGCTCTTAAAATTGGACCCTAAGTTCCAAGACTATAACTTCCTTCATATTCATTGAGCGGCCACTCTTGATTACAAATAAACTTGGCAGAAAGGATGAGAGTACACTTATCATTTTGGAAACTTTCTAGACTGTCACAAGAACACTTTAGTTCTAATTGCAGTTTCACGTGAGAATGACACTTAACAGAACTGAAGAGAAGAGATAAGATAGTACCTGAAACAGCATTAACTAAGCAGCAGTCTTTTTCAACAAGAACTCAGTAATTATGATTTCTTAAGCCTCAAAATTTTTGACACCTCTCTTATTTCAATTCCAAAAGAGTGAGGGTGTTCCTATGAAACATCACCAATTAAGCTTATATACAGTCTTTTCTACTTAAAAAAAAAAAGTGTTTTTCAGAACTGAAATGTAACTAAAAGCACTTGTGTGAAAAAGGAATAAGACTTATAAACAATGTACTTTTTTCCCCCCACTCACAAACCCATCATTTACTTAAAACCGCACCCATTTATCTGCCTATTTCTTAATGGCAAACAAGATGACAAGTGATAGGACTGAGCAACTTAGTCTGAGGAAAAAAAAAAAAACAAAACCTATAACATATCCTCAAATTCAGCAATACAAAACTATTTAGGAACTATATAAAATTACCAACATTTCACAATTTTTAACCTATAAAAATGACAATTTCATACAGTTCAAATAATAGTAACAGTTATAAATAGCACATAAGCACTTTCATTCCTAATTGGATGAGTAATTACATATTTATTTCCCACGCTTCAATTTCTCAGTCTGTCATTTTTGACCACATCTCTGAATACATTTTGGACAACTCCAGCAGGAGGAAGTTCCAAAGTATAAGCAAGACTCTGTTCTGAGTATAACCCTTGGGTTATACATTCTCAAAATGGACTAAAATTTATACCTAAAATTTAAGTCAAGCTCTATTTTCTCTTGTAAGGGTACAAGTTCTAATATATCCAGGGGCCATGCAGATCAGGAGTGAGGTCATATGCATCCATTGCATGACGAGTGGGACTGTGGGAAACTAGAAACTACAAGTACCATATAAAGGTGGTAGCCATTACTCACTGCAAAGCAGATTGTTATGGGTAAGTATTGGTCCTTAGTGTTCTGTCATTCAGATTATTCAAGAAACTGACAAATGCCAATTTTTATGTAGAAGTCAACTGGCTTTGAAATGTTGGCTCATATTGTTTTTCAAAACACTGGGTATAAAGTTTCCAAAATTATATGTGTACACCTACAATAAGAATTCTGCAGCCATCCACAAACAAAAATCTTGTTGTAGGAGTCTTGGGATTCAGGTAGGAGGCTGTAAAACCCAAGTGGAGCCCAAGACTTAGGAAGGCCATTTTGAGGGTACAAACTTGCACCTGGACACACAGATTGGGCTCCTGGGTTCAAACACAGAAATAATCCTGTTCCCCAAACGGCTTGGCTTCAGCCCCCTTTGGCTTTTGCAACCAAAACCACCTGCCAAGGGGTCCTGGAGGAATTACACACCCAAGTGCCCCACAAAGGCCGGTCAGCCCACCAACATCAGTCTTGGCAGTGGACCCAAAAGTTACCCTATAATTCAGCTCCAGCCCCCCTCATCTGTGGTTCCCGCTTATCACTGGTCACACAAAAACCCAGAGAAACACTTACCCATCTGAGCCACTGGGATGGGATTGCCACCCTCTATCCCACAGCAGATCCCAAGGGGGACCTTTCTTGGCTACAGCACTTCTGTCCGGCAGCCCTGGAAATATCCTGCCCATGTAGAGAACTGCTGGGAGACTCATATATCTGAGTCACCAAGGCAGGCTTGGTGACTCAGCCTCCATCCCACAGTAGATCCTGACAGGGCTCAGTCTCAGCTCCAACCCCTCCCTGCCACAGTAAGGGAACTATCCCACCTATGCAAAGAACTTCTGGGATTCGTGTAAGTCTGAACCACTGCAACGGGTGTGTCTGCCTCCATCCCACAGCAGATCCTGGAAGGGCTCAGTCTCAGCTCCAATCCTCTTGCTGGGAACTATCTTGCCTGGACAGGGAACTGCTGAAAGAAGCATCCATCTTAATAATACCGGAATAGGCTTGCCAGCTCCTGTCCCACAGCAGACTGTGAAGGGGCCCAGTCTCTGCTCCAGCCCCTCTCACTGCAATTTAAGAACTATCCTGCAAGTACAAAGATCTGCTAGGAGATTCATGATCTGTGCACTGGGACAGACTTGTTAGCCTCCAATCCACAGCAGATCCTGAAGGGCCTCTGCTTAGCTACAGCCTCTCTCTGCTGCAGTCCAGGAGTAATCCTGTCTAGGTAGAGAACTACCAGAAGACTAGCCAGTCTGAGCAACTGGGACAGGCTTGCCAGCCTCCACCATCCCACAACAGATCCTCAGCAGATTTTGACAACAGGCAGGCACTTGTTCTGACATAGGAGGGAGTTTAACCAGAGTGGTCCCTAGCCTCAAAGCCTACTTTCCTACCCCACTGATCATTTCTAATAAGCATTTCTATTGAACATAAAAATTGGTCCATCCACCCCAATCCACTTAACCTCAAGGACCCTCCTGCAACCCTGTCCAACTGCTGAACTCAAATAAAGGAATACACCCTGTGGCCAAGGCTGATCAGAGGAAATTTCTGTGTCCATTCAGCAGCTCGGCCTGATTGCAGAGCTCAGACGGTGGTCCTGTCAGATAAGAGAACCTATGTAGCTACCCCAAAAAAATTCAGAGCAAAGGTAGCAGGCCAGCTTTCTACAGAACCTAAAAGCAAGCTGTGTCTGCTAAGGGTTATTACTAGCTGGCCCCTCCAGAAGTATAGGCTAGAATAAATAGTAAAGTTCTATCCCTGCCAACGAACACCTGTAAAAGCTGGAAAAGGTGGTTGTCTCCACAAATGTGCAAACACCAACACAAGGACACAGGATTACAAAGACTCAGGAAATCATGACACCTCCAAAAGAAATGAATAAAACTCCAACAATGAATCCCAAAGAAAATGGAATCCATAAAATGGTAAAAAAAAAAAAAAAAAAAGATTTCAGAATAATCCTTATTAAAAAGTTAAATGGGCAGCACATGGTGGCTCACACCTGTAGTTCCAGCAACTCAGGAGGCTGAAGCAGGAGGATCCCTTGTGCCCAGGAATTCAAAGCTATGGTGAACTATGATTTTGTCACTGCACTCCAGTCTCCAGCCTGGGAGACAGAGTGAAACCTCAACTCTTTTGGGAAAAAAAAAAAGTTAACCACAAGAATATATAAATAGAAAATTAAATTTTGAAAATACATGAACAAAATGAAAAGTTTGACAAAGAAATAGAAACAATTAAAAAATGAATATCCAGGAGATGAAGAATACAACGACTAAACTGAAAAATGAAATAGGAAGCTTGAACAGCTGCCTTGAGGAAGCTGAAGAAAGAATCAGTGAGCTTCTAGATGGACATTTGAAATCAGTCAGAGGAGCAAAGAAAAAAAGAAAAAGAGGAAAGGAAAGAAGAGGGGAGGAGAGGGGAGAGGAGAAGAGGGGAGAGGAGGGGAAGAGAGGGGAGGGGAAAGGAGGGGAAGAGAGGGGAGCGGAGGGAAGGGGAGGAGAGGGGAGGGGAGGGAAGGGGAGGGAACGGGAAAGGAGGGGAGGGGAGCCTATGGGGATTATGGAGCACCATCAAGAGACCTAACCTATACATAATAGGAATTAAGAAGTAGAAAAACAAAGTAGGTAGATGCATATTTAAAGAAATAACAAATGAAAAGTTCCCTAATCAGAAGGAAGCCAACATCCAGGTACATGAAGAAAGGAGATCTCCAACCAAATTCAAACCAAAGAGGAGTTGACGATAACATGTAATTATCAAACTATCAAAAATTAAAGAGAAAGAAAAAATTCTGAAAACAGCAAAAGATAATAAAGAAATCACACATAAAAGGGTTCCAATAAAAATAACAATAAACTTCTTAGCAGAAACCCCAGACCAGGAGAGAGTGGGCTGATATATTCAAACTGCTCGGGGGATGGGGCGTAAAAAAATGCTGCCAACCAAGAAGACTTTACCCAGCAAAGATGTCTTTCAAAAATAAGAAGGAAATAAAAACTTTCCCAGACAAGCAAAACTTTTACAACATCCCATAAATTTTGGCATACCGTGTTTTCATTTTTGTTTGTCTAAAGATATTTTTTAATTTCCCTTTTAATTCCTCAATTGACCTATTGGTTGTTCAGGAGCATGTTGTTAATTTCAGTATACTTCTGAATTTTCTGAAATTCTTCCCGTAATTGATTTCTAGTTTCATACAATTGTGGTCAGAAAAGATATGTGATATGATTTCAGTCTTCTTCAACTTCCTAAGATGTGCTTTGTGAACTAACATACAATCTATCCCAGAAATGATCTGTGTACATTTGAGAAGATTGTGTATCCTGTTGGTGTTAAGATGGAATACTCTGTATATGTCTGTTACGGTTCATTTCATTTAAAGTGTTGCTTAAGTCTAACATTGCCTTATTAATTTTCTGACATTATCTGTCCATTATTGAAAGTGGTGCATTGAAGTTCTCTACTGTTATTGTATTACAGTCTATCTCTGTACACCCTTTAATGTTTGCTTTATATATTTAGGTGCTCCATTGCTGGGTACATATGTATTTATAATTGTTATAGCCTCTTGGCAAACTGACTACTTTATCATTATATAATGCCTTCATTTTCTTCTTTTTACAGCTTTTGACTTAAAGTATTTTCTGCTGTAAGTATTGCTACTTCTGCTGATTTTTGGTTACCATTTGTGTAGAATATCTTTTTCCATTTCTTCACTTTCAGTCTATATGTGTCCTCAAAAGTGCAGTGAGTTCCTTGTAGGTAGCATGTAGTTAGGTCTTGTGTGTGTGTGTGTGTGTGTGTGTGTGTCCATTCATTTACTCCTTGTCTTTTATAGGAGAATATAATCCGTTTACACTCAATATAATTGTTGATAAGTAAGGAAAGGACTAACTTTCTCGCCATTTTGTTAATTATTTTCTATCATTGGGTCTTTTTTTCTTGAAGATATTTTGTTTCCTTCTTCATCTCTTGCAATTTTCCTTTGTGGTTTGATAGTTTCCTGTGTGGTATGTCTTGAATCTTTTGAATCTAATTTTATTTTTTGTGAATCTCCTACAGATTTTTGCTTTTTGGCTACCATGAGGCTTACAAAGAATATCTTACACTTCTGTCTATTTTAACCTGATAGCAGCTTAACATTGATTAAATACAACTCAACACCTTTACCCAGCCATCTTATGTTTCTAATGTCTAAATTACATCATATTATAATATATATATCCCTTGAAAGTTTATTGTAGCTGTGGTTGCAATTAATAATTTTGTCCTTTAACCCTGTACTAAGAATAAAATTACTCTACACACCACCATTACCATCCTAAAAATATTCTGAATGTTGATCAGTATTACTTATACCACTAGGTTCTGTGCTTTCATAACTTTTTTGTTATTTGACATTAAAATGGATTTGACATTAAAAGCATAGGAAACAAAAGCAAAGATAGACAAATGAGATTACATCAAACTAGAAAGCTTCTGCACATCAAAGGAAACAATTAGCAGAGTAAAAAGACAACCTACAGAATTAAGAAAATATCTGCAGTCCATATATTTGGTAAAGGGCTAATATCCAAAGTATAAGAGGAAATCAAACAGCTCTATAGAAACAAAACAGATAATCCAATAAAAACGTGAGCTATTGACCTGAATAGGTATTTGTCAAAAGAATACATCTGAATAACTGATAGATACTTGAAAAAACGCTCACCATCACTAATCATTAGGGAGATAGAAATTAAAATCACAATTAGATATCACCTCCTATCTGTGAGAATGGCCACTATCAACAAAAACAACAAACACTTGCAAGAAGGTGGAGAAAAAGGGAACCTTTGTATCCTGTTGGTAGGAACATAAATTAGCATAACCATTACGGGAAACAGTATGGAGGATCCTCAAAAAACTAAAAATAGAATTACTATATGATCCAGCAATCCCACTTCTGAGTATTTACCTGAAAGTTTTAAAATCAGAATGTGGAAGAGACATCTGTAGTCTCATATTCACTGCAGCACTAGACAATAGCCAAATAATGGAATAAACCTAAATGTCTATCAGAGGATAAATGAATACCAAAAAATTCATCTACACACAATGGAACACTATTCAGGCTTTAAAAAATAAAAATAACTTTGTAATTTGTGACATCACAGACGGAATTGGAGGACATTACCCTAAGTGAAATAGGCAAGGCACAGAAAGACAAATGCCACAGTTCTCACTTATATGTATAATCTAAATTAATTGAACTCACAGAAGCAGAGAGTAGAATGGTGGTTACCAGAGGCTGGGTGGTAGGGAGGATGGGCAGTTGATATGGTTTGGCTGTGTCCCCACCCAAATCTCATCTCGAATTGTAATCCCCAGATGTTGACCTAGGACCTGGTGGGAGGTGATTGGATCACAGGGACGACTTCCCCCATGCTGTTCTCATAATAGTGGAGTGAGTTATCACAAGAGCTGATGGTTTTAATAGTTTGGCAGTTCCCATTTCACTCTTCTCTCTCACCTGCCACCATGTAAGATATGCCTGCCTGCTTTTCCTTCTGCCATGATTGTAAGTTTCCTGAGGCCTCCACAGCCATGCAGAACTGTGGGTCAATTAAACCTCTTTTCCTTATAATTTACCTAGTCTTAGGCAGTTCCTCATAGCAGTGTGAAAACAGGCTAACACAACAGTCAAAAGAGTATAAAGCCTCAGTTATATATGAGAAATAAGTCTGACTTTTCTATTTTAGATCAATTGTACAGCATGCTGAACATAGCTAACAATTGAGTACTGTACATTTCAATATTGCCACAAATAAACAATGTTAAATACTTCAGGGGATAGATATGTTAATTAGCTTAATTTAACCATTCTGCATTGCATTCAAAATCATAATATCACTTTGTACCCCATAAATATAAACAACCATAACATAATATATAATATAAATAAAATTTAACAAACAAAAAATAATGAGTGTGTGTGATATTATAAGAAATATGTTTGAACTTTGTCCCCTGCTCCTCGCACAGAGTTGGCAAAACCCTTGAAATTTCCTGAGTGATAGGAATGTTTTTGTTACTCATAAGGAACAGCTTTCAATTACACCTGAGTTTATAATAATGAAGTGACTTACAGTGGGGCCTCTAGACAGCCTCAGGATGGAGCTGGTCACCAGAAACACCAAGTGATTAGTAGGCTGGGATTTTCAGACCCTCCTCCCTACCCTCCATTCCTCCCATGCACCCAGACCAGGAGATTGAGCTCTATAAAAATTTGAATTGGGAGGTTTATAAGTCCATTTTCACACTGCTGATAGACATACCTGAGATTCAGTAATTTATATGGAAAAAAACAGTTTAATGGACTTACAGTTCCACATGGCTGAGGCGGTCTCATAATCATGGCAGAAGGCATGGAGGAGCAATTCATGTCTTACATGGATGGCAGCAGGCAATGAGACAGAGCTTGTGCAGGGAGCCCCCCCCAACCCCACCACCTTATAAAACCATCAGATCTCGTGAGATTTATTCACTATCATGAGAAAAGCATGAAAAAGAACTGCCCCCATGATTCAATTACCTCCCACTGGGTCTCTCCCACAACACGTGGGAATTCAAGATCAGATTTACATGGGGAAACAGCCAAACCATATCAGGAGGCTTAGGAAGGAGGATCACTTGAGCCCAGGCCTTTGACATTACAGTGAGCTATGATTGTGCTACCTGCACTCCAACCTGGGTGACAGAGTGAAACCCTGTCTCAAAAAAACAAAACTCTTGAACAAGGAGATGTGAACAGCTTCCTGCTTGGTGAACACATCATGGTGCTAAAAGGTGGCATGTCCACAGAAGGGCATTGAAGTCCTGTTCCCCTGCCACCATAACTTTCCCTATGTGTCCTCTCTCATTTGGCTGTTCCTAAGTTCTATCTTTTGTACTAAACCAGTAAAGGTAAATAAAATATTTTTCTGATTTCTGTGACCCATTATAGCAAATTATCAAACCTGAGGCAGAATTGCTTCTCTTGCACAAAGTAGTGTGGCTTCATTTGTTAATAAACATTTCATTAATTCTTTTGGGGAAGTGTTTGATTAAAAATAATTTTTTTTTCTAAGACATGTAACATTCCCAGCTTCTCCCTAATAAGAAAATTATTCGTGAGGCATAAATCAAGGGAAACCTTGATTTATAACTGGTTGGTCAAAAGTATAGGTGACTCAGGACTTGTGACTGGCATCTGAAGTGGAGGCAATTTTGTGAGACTGAGCCCACAAACCTGTGGGATCTGACACTAACCCTAGATAGATGGTGTTTGAATTGTACTGAATTGTTGAATACCCACTTGGTGTTAGAGAATTGGAGTTATGATTGGCCTCCAAGGATCCCAAGTCAATTATCTTATTCCCCCACTGGGGGAAAAAAAGAGGGTTTAATATAGGAAGGATATTGGGATAATCATGCTTAGCAGATTCTCTGCCAGTTCTTCTCCTGATGGAAAGGGCCTGGAGCTGAATTACATACACTGAATCACTCAGCAGAAAGCTCACCTAGTGGCTGATAGAAATGGAACTTTGATAGTTTCAGAATTCTAGTACTATTCTGTTAGATTCCCATGTGCTGGCCTCTCCAACATTTGAATGAAGCAAGCAACAAAATTAATCCAGATTAGAAGTCATTTGTTATCAAGGTATCACAATTTAGGAGGCTGTGCTTCTACAAGGGTAGTGTCTGATAGCACTTAGTTACCTGCAAAATTGGCAACCACCTCCAGCAGGCAGCAGTGAAACAAGGTCACACAGCTAAAAGAGTATCTTTAAATTACCTTATTGATCAGAAAGATTAATCAATTGGTGGCCTCTTTATGGCTACAACTTAATATCAATTTTGAAACAAAATCCTAAAAAGATTGTCAGACTTCTTCAAAGGATTCTGAAATAGCACTAAATCAAACATGTTCCTGCCTATAAAGTACAATGAAGTGAAAATGAAGTCAAATTATCAATAATCTTTAAACTTCAGAACAATCAAGAATGATTATCTTATTAGAAGGAAGTTGGAAATGTTATATGCATCAACAATCTTCAAACTACAGAACTATCATGAATAATTTTCTTATTAGGGAGAAGCTGGGAATGTTACATGTCTTAGAAAAAAAAATTTATTTTTAATCAAACACTTCCCCAAAAGAATTAATGAAATGTTTATTAACAAATGAAGCCACACTACTTTGTGCAAGAGAAGCAATTCTGCACAGCAAAATTTAAAATGCTGATCTGAAAAGCTATTCAGTCAAGTTAGTTTCATAGTCACTTAATATGTTTTAAAAATTTCCCATTAAGTTGAAATAACGAACTGAAATCAACCTGCAGAACGTCAGTTGTAAAAATTCCACTCCATCTACCAGTCATTCATTAAGGAAGCAGTATGTGCAAACTTTGTGTTCAATGAGAACTCTAGCAGATCAGAAAAAAAAAGTAATGACACTTTCTCTCCAGAAACTTTTCATCCACTTAGGAGAACATGACAATACAGAGTTCTATATAAATTATAATTAAACTTGTTAGTTATTTAAAAAATAAGTAAATATATACAAGGTAGTATAGAATTTTGCTACAGCAGAGTTAAAGTAGTAATAAAATAATGACAAGATACATCAAATACCTGCTAAATGACATAAAAAGATGCTGCATTTTCTAAGGTAAAAAAATTACAGGACCAATATAAACAAAAATAAGAGGTATAAGAGAAGGTTTGCCTGAGGAATCCAATGTTCAGAAAATGAAATACCAACAATCAACTAGTAGATTCACCAGTAGCAACGACAATACAATTCCAATGCCTTGAAAATTATTTTTCCTTAACAATTGAAATGTATATTATTAAATTCAATTCTGCCTGCATAAATATTCCACTTTGGCCAAGGTACAAGACTGCCCAGTGAAACATCAGAAATACAAAATATCCAGAAAAATGAGGTACATGCTTTTCATTTTAACAAGGCATGTAGCTCCAAACCAAATAAAGAAGAGACATACACCAAAAAAAGAGTAAATTACTAAATTTTCAAAGATAAGATTGTATTAATTTTTTTGTGTATTTTAGTATGACATCTTGCTTGCTGAAACAATGAACACGCTATGACCAGGAAAAAAAAAATTTTTTTTTTTTGACACAGGGTCTCACTCTGTCACCCAGACTGGAGTACAGTGGCACCATCTCGGCTCACTGCAACCTCTACCTCTCAGGCTCAAGTGATTCCCCTGCCTCAGCCTACTGAGTAGCTGGGATTACAGGCATGCACCACCACGCCTGGCTGATTTTTGTATTTTTAGTAGAGATGGGGTTTCACTATGTTGGCCATGCTGGTCTCAAACGCCTGACCTCAAATGATCTACCTGCCTCGGCCTCCCAAAGTGCTGGGATTACAAGTGTGAGCCACTGTGCTCAGCCAACCAGGACAAATTTTATAGGGCTGTTGTTATTTAGAAATGTCTTTTTATTTTTTATTTTTTTGGAGACAGGGTCTCACTCTGTTGCCCAGGCTGGAGTGCAGTGGCGCAATCTCAGCTCACTGCAACCTCTGCCTCCCAGGTTCAAGCAATTCTCATGTCTCAGCCTCCCGAGTAGCTGAGATTACAGGCATGCACCACCACTCCCGGCTAATTTTTGTATTTTTGGTAGAGATGGGGTTTCACCAGGTTGGCCAGGCTGGACTTGAAATTCTGACCTCTGGTGATCCACCTGCTTTGGCCTCCCAAAGTGCTGGAATTACAGGTGTGAGCCACCACTCCTGGCCTAGAAATGCCTGATTTTTTAATTAAACCTTGTTTAGAGGTTATATAAAACAGAGATATCTATTTAGCTGATGGCCAAAAAAATTCAACCAAATTAGAACATTCAAGAACATAAAGATCATGGTTAGGCATTTAGGTACGAACATTCAGTTCAGGTATGTCTGATTTAATATCTAAGGGATTTCTTTGACTCAGGACAAAATGAGAAAGAGAGAGAACCAGCCAATGTCTTAGAAAACTGTTTTTGAAAAAAAAAACTAGATAAAAACTGAGAAATTAAATTAAGGCACATACACAGTTGATCGCTGAACAACTGAAGGTTTGTTCTGTGTGGGTCCACTTACACTCTAAAGTTTCTCAATAAAAGTTACACCAACTGTGTCCACCTCTCCTGCCTCCTCTTCCACCTCCTCTACCTCTGCCACCTCTGCCACCTCTGCCAGCCCAGAGACAGCAAGATCAATCCTTCTCTTCCTCTTCCGCCCCAGCCAGCTCAACATGAAGACAAGAATGAAGACCTTTATGATGATCGACTTCCACTTAATGAATAGTAAATATATTTTCCTTTCATTATGATTTTCTTAATAACATTTACTTTTTTCTAGCTTACTTTATTGTAAGAATACAGTACATAATGCATATAACACACAAAACATATGTTAATCAACTGTTTATGTTATTGATGAGGCTTCTGGTCAACAATAAACTATTAGTAGTTAAGTTTTGAAGGAGCCAAAAGTTATACATGGATTTTCAACTGCGTGAGAGGTTGGCATCCCTAACCCCTATATTGTTCAAGGGTCAACTCTATAGCTAATTACAATGTACGCTACTATATGGACTTAATAAATCATTCATTTCTTCTAAGAACTCATACAATATTATGAACTGGTTAAATGATTAGATTACTATTTAAAAGCCACCTATCACTACCATTAGAAAGGAGAAGCAATGAGAAAACAAGTCCTGATACCCATGTTTTATGTTCTTAAGATTGTTTTAGGACTGTCGTTCAAAGAATTGCTAAGTTTAAACTTCTTCTAGAAGTCCGCAAAACAATGTAAGATTGTGTGGTTCTAATGACTTGATATAAAAGCTCAAATGTCTACTTTGCATCAAAAAGCTTTTTGTTAAAATACAGTGATATTCAGATGGGAATTAACAGTGGTGATCTATAATATGATTTTCTACTGAGACATGCTTGTCAGATAATGACAACAAGGTCATATTCCCTTATCACATCTAAAGTGCAAAAACTTCTATTTTCTATGTTGCCATTTAAGAAGTTATCAGAGTATAAACTTTTGTCTCCCCAAATTAATATCTAAGTCATCATGAGCCAATTTCTCCTTAAGAACAATGTTGAAAATGAAGGGTTAGTTCCTAAACACAACACTTGGCAAGTTTTTAAAATTCAATTTATAGATGAGTATCACAGCACAGCTAATTTACAAATTTATAAATAGCAATGATACTGTCATTTTATGTTAAACCCATACATGGAACTCTATTAGTATACTATATCATACAAGCATCTACCTAAAAATTACAAAAAAAATCATAAACATTTAAACTTTAACTTTTTAAGTGCCCCAACGTTTAGACAGATGTAATTTTATTTTCCCTGAGCAGCTGTTCATTTGGACATGTTCCGTATTTATTGATATACTGTGTCCAATGCTAGGGTCACATTTCTTAAACAGGAACTTGGCAACTTCCAAATTCTATGGTAAATATTGACATGTCTCAGCATGTCAATATTTATACTGTCAAGACTTTGACAGGTTTCAACAATGGCTGCATCTCATTTCTTAGCAGCCATGTGCTTCTGTTTCAAATGAGCAAGTTCCTTCTTTATCCAATAAAATTCTCATTCACTGCTCAGGTAAAATTAGAAGTAAGTTAATAGCATTCTCTCACACAAGACCAGATTGAACTCTTTGCTTACTTCAACATTTTAGTCACTTCTGTAGGATTAGCAAAGCTATGGAAATGAACACAAATTCAGGATACAATGTCCTCCAGGTAATATTTGTTTTTGATTACTTAATCTCAAGCCTAATTATCATTTGCAACGACATTACTAATGTGGAAGCCTTTTCAGAATCTATAGAGCTAATCGATTTCCTTTTTTGTTAGTCTTAAGGGCTAGGTGAAGATAAAACTGCTTTAGTTTATAGGCTGCGACAATAATGATAATATTCAGAAGGCAGTTTGAACTCAGGATGCCAATCATAAAGAGTAGTTGGGAAGTCTAGCTCATTATCTAGGATTAAACAAACAGTATTTTAAACGCAAAATTAGTTTACCTAATTTTGTGCTACGTGTCAGAGATACTGTTAACAAACTAATCATAATTAAATCAATCTTAAGAGCAAATTTCGGTACTGCTGAAAGAAAATCTTTGCAACATCTTTAAACACTCTGGGATTTCCCAATGGTACACAAGTTTAATGTAACATGAAGTTACTGGTAGTAATGGCATCTAGCAAAAACATAAATGCCTCATGAACAGTTTGGAATTTTGGCATGTATTTCTTCTTTGGCAAGTATTTCTTCTTTTTGGCAACACAAATCTCAAGAATGTTTTCCTCCCCAAAAGTGCCTAATTTCATCAACATTAAAAATTTGCTGTCTGCAATTGAACCCTGATCAATGATTTCAGCCAATGCCTTAGAAAAAGGCACAACTCACTTTCATCAGGGCTGGCAGCTTCCGCAATAACAAGGAGCAAATTGTCCAGGGCTATACAATGCATTAACTCCCTCCTACTTGTATCAAAAGGATACAGTACCTTTCAATTATTTTAAAGACAGCCATCTTTTTCCTAAGAAACAAGGTATAGCAAATAAGCCATTGATTTTACACTCAAAAGACCCAGGTTGGAATCAAAACTATGCTTCATAGCTGAGTGTCCTTGATCATGCCATTAATGCATTAAAACATTCACTGATTACTTCCTATGTACCAGGATTTGATATCCCAAAGATCAGTAAGACACATTCGCAACTCTCTACTGAAATAGAGACACCCAAACAGAATTATAATATAAGTTTGTAAAATGCAGAGGTAGGAAGGGAGCTCCTCTGAAAAGCAGCACTTACCCTGGCCTGACATTTTAGGGAAGGCTTCCTTGAGTTACATCTAATATTATACGAATCTTTAAAGAGAAATGGTCAGGTGAAAACAACTTAGGGGTAGAGGAAGAAAGATAAGGAAGGGCATTCCAAATAGAAGAGTCTGCATGAGTAAAAACTTGGAGGCAAGAAATAGCATGATACATGGAAGTGATAAATAATTCAGTGTTTCAGACTGCAAATCAAAAATTACAGGTTCATGGTCAAATGCGGTGGCTCATGCCTGTAATCCCAGCACCTTCATGCCTGTAATCCCAGCACTTTGGGAGGCTGAGGCGGGTGGATCACGAGGTCAGGAGTTCGAGACCAGTCTGGCCAACATGGTGAAACCCCGTCTGTACTAAAAATACAAAAAATTTGCTGGGCATGGTGGCATGCACCTGTAATCCCAGCTACTCAGGAGGCTGAGAAGAGAGAATTGCTGGAACCCAGGAGGCAGAGGTTGTAGTGAGTAGAGATTGTGCCACTGCACTCCAGCCTGGGAAACGGAGCAAGACTCCATCTCAAAAAAAAAAAAAAAAAAATTACAGATTCAAACACCCAATCAAGTCAGTCATTCATTCAAACAAAACCTACTGAGTACTTCTATGCCTCAGACAAATGCTTTAGAATGTGGCATAAGACAACAAAACAGATAAAAATGCCTGCCTTCATGGATTTTACATTTTAATAGGGGAACACAATTAAAAATACATGTAACAAATATGTAATACATATATAGAATAATGATAAGCGCTGAAGTAAAAAGAGGAGATAAAACAGGGTGGAGGAGATAGGGGTAGGGGCTATGGAAGTTGCAAAGCTTCAATTTAAATAGGGAGGTTGGGATATGCTTTACTGCAAAGGTGACATTTGAACAACATGTAAAAGCTATGAAGGAATAGCTGTATGGATCCAAAAGCATTCTAGAAAGAAGCAGCAGTCAGTGCAAAGGCCCTGTGGTAGAAGTAGGCCTAGTGTACTTAAGAAACAGGGTGGTAAGTATGGCTGGAACAAAGGGAGAGAGAATACAAAGACATGTAGTCAGAGAGGTAATGGGAGACCAGATCATGTAGAGCAGAGGTGTCCAATCTTTTGACTTCCTTAGGCCACACTGGAGGAAGAATTGTCTTGGGCCACACATAAAATACACTAACACTAATGATACCTAAAGGGCTCAAAAAAAAAAAAATCTCATAATGTTTTAAGAAAGTTTACAAATTTGTGGTGGGCCGCATTCAAAGCCATCATAGGCCACAGGCAGCCTGTGAGCTGTAAGTTGGACAAGACTGATGTAGACTATTGTAGGCCAACGTAAGGCTGTTAGCTTCTACTATGAATCAAATGATTCACGAAAGGTTTTTAAGCAAAAAAGTAATGTTTTATTCTTCTGTATATTATTTTGAAATAATTCTGAATTTACAGAAGGGTTACAAAGATAATAGAAAGTTCTCATATACCCCTCACCCAATTTCTTCTAATATTAACATCTTATACTACCACGGTGCATTTATCAAAACCAGGAAACCAACACTGATACATTTCTATCAACTAAACCATAGACTTTATTTGGATTTCACCAGTTTTTCCATTAATAACCTCTTTCTGTTTCAGGATCCAATCTAGCATAACATATTGCATTTAGAATCTTACATGTAAATACACAATTTTTTATTTATATTTTAAAAGTATCACTCTGGCTGACATATGAGAATAGACTGTAGGGAGGCAAGGACTGAAAAAAGCAGAGAGAACAGAACACAATTACTATAATCCAGGCAAGAAATGATAGTGGGTAATAACAAAAATCTGAGCAAGAGATGATCAGTATACTAATAGCAGAAATAGTAGAAAACTGTTGAATTCTAGATATATTTCATAGAAAAAGCCAACAGATTTGTTGGAATACAAGAGAAAGGAAGGAGTCAAGGATGACTCCAAAGATTTAACTGAGCAACTGGCTGTATAAAGTTGCCATCAATTCAGATGAGAAAGAATGGGAAAGGTTTGGGAGGAAAGGAGTTCGGTCTGGGACATCTGAGTTCAAGATATCTTTTAAATATACCAATGAAGATGCAGAGGTAGAAAAAGAGGAATTGGAACATGGAGCATAGAAAACTCTTTAGAGGATTTTTGTTGCAGAGAAGAGCAAACAAATGGGGTTGAAAATGGAGAAAGGTTAAGAGAAACATTTCTTAAGGTAAAAGAAATAAGACATACATTAAATAGAAGTGTCTTTTTTGGTGAAACTTCTTTTTTTAAAAAATGTTAATGTGTATATTTGAGGTTTACAAGTTGACATTATAGGATACACACAGATAGTAAAATGGTTATTTTAGTCAAGGAGATTAACACCTATCATCTATCTTATTTTTTGTGTGTGACAAGGGCAGCTGAAACTCTACTTATTTAACAAAAATCCCTAACAGAATAAAACTGTATTAACTTTGGTCCTCAAGTACATTTCAGTCTGAATTGAAAAGCCATGTGGGAAGGGAATAAAAACAAGGGGGGAGAAAAAAAGGACAAACACTGGAACATGAAAAACCTCTACCTGAGGTTAGGGAGGCTAGCTGAGGATAAGAGGAAAAAAGCAGAACAATTGTCTTTCAATATATGTGAATAACAGTGAATGAAAAAAGGTAGGTAATGTAAAAGGTAATGTAAATCAACCCTATCATTAACACTAGCAACAAAGTAAAAAGAGAAAATGGGGAGAAAGTGGTCTGGTGATACAAATGCAATACCAACTTAATACTAAAACCTTTTATAGCAGTCCTCTCCTTATCCAAGGGTGTATATCCCAAGGCCCCGTGAGGAGGCTGAATCCAACTGCCTTCAATCTGAGCATGCTTCTGTTCACATTTTCTAACCACAAATTTAATTCCTTTTTTATCTTAACTAAGCTTTTATAATGCACTATGGCTATAAGTTTGGCAGTTTGAGGTGTGACAGTAAAACTAGCATAAATTTCTTTTTGCTTATTCACAATTTTACAGATAGATTTGTTCTTACCATAGTTCTTAACAACATCAACATAGGATTTCTTTTCTTCCTTATTAAGTGGAGAACTTTCCTTTTTTTGCTTAAAAGAGGCACTTTACAGCTACTCTTTGGCATAACCAAATTGCCAGCGTCGTTACTCTTGTGCTTTGAAGCAATAATTAAGTAAAATAAGTATTCCTAGAACACACGCACTGTGATACCACCTCCATCAATCTGATAACCAAGCAACTAAAAGGCAGGAAGCTTATACAGCAGGGATACGCTAAACAAGGAGATGATTCATGGCCCCGGGCTGAATGGGATAGGATGGAATAAGATTTCATCACAACTCAGAAAGGCATGCTATTTAAAATGTATGCATTATTTCTGGAATTTTTTTTTTTTTTTTTGAGATGGAGTCTCGCTCTGTTGCCCACGCAGGAGTACAGTGGCACAATCTCGGCTCACTGCAGCCTCCACCTCCCGGGTTCAATTGATTCTCCTGCCTCAGCCTCCTGACTAGCTGGGACTACAGGCACATGCCACCACGCCTGGCTAATTTTTGTATATTAGTAGAGATGGGGTTTCACCATGTTGGCCAGGCTGGTCTCAAACTCCTGACCTCAAGTGATCTGCCCGCCTTGGTCTCCCAAAGTGCTGGAATTACAGGCATGAGCCACCGCACCCGGCTGGAATTTTCTACTTAATATTTTCAGACTGTGGTTGATCATGGGTAACTGAAACTGCAGAAATCAAAACCTCAGATAAGGAGGGACTACTGTATTTAGTGCCTAATATATGCAATTCAACCATTCCTCCATTATAATTCCTCCTCTCCAGGGACTTTTAATTTAGCAAAGACAAAGCCATGCACAGTAATAGCCAACACTTTCTGAGTGCTTACTGTATGCCAAACATTTGCCTAGATGATTTACTTGTAATAACTCATGTAATCCTCATAACACTGAGGACACCTGTGCACTGGCGCCACAGAAAACTACAAATATCCACTATTTTTACATACGATTTTAATATACCCATGAAACCAAAGTTGGAAATATTCTTCCAGATGCAGGTGAGATAATACTTTTTGAACAGGCCAGACGTGGTGCGGTGGCCTACACCTGTAATCCCAGCACTTTGGGAGGCCGAGGCGGGAGGATCACTTGAGCCCAGGAGTTTGAGACCAGCCTAGGCAACATAGTGAGCCCTGTCTCTACAAAAAATAAAATAAAATTAGCCAAGTATGGTGGCATGCAACCATGGTCCCGGTTACTGGGGATACTGAGGGAGGAGGATAGATCGCTTCTGCCCTGGAGGTTGAGGCTGCAGTGAGTCATGATTGTGCCACTGCACTCCACCCTGGGCAACAGAGCAAGATCCTGTCTCAAAAATAAAAATAAATAATAATTTTTGAACAAAGGAATAACACAGACAGATTTTATTTCTAGTAAGGAAAGGATCCAAGATGGTTTTAAATGAGGATTCACTGCAAAGCTGCCAGAAAGATTTTAGAAATTGTGATATAATCTGAAAACCAAAAAGTAGGGGGTTTATGTAAGACAATGGAGCTAAACTACCACCTCCCAAAAAAAACTCACCACGTCAGATTAACTTTGATGTTTTACATAAATGCAATAAACATTATACATATTTGTTCAGCCTCATTTATTGGCATATGTGTTTCTCTATAGATAACTTAAAAACTGGCAATGCCGTTCTTTACTGTTTTGAAGCTCAGGTACATAAGAAGTCATAGCCTAAAATTAATTAAAATATATAGATATAGCAAATCAATTGTGATCTCTAACAAGTTAAGCTTTCTGATGCTTTTCACAGGTAGCCTGAAGCAGAGCTTCATACAGAAGTATTACCTTTATATGTAACAAAGATCAAGACAATCTTCACATGAAACCAAGGGCAGTTATGTCTACAGACACATTTACTGCCCTAAAAGCCAAGCTCGATAAATTGCACAACATAATTTCCATAACTAAACCAGGTTTGTTTAATTTGAATGGCAAGACCTAAAAGGTATAATATAAAGGAATTACAAGACAGAACATTAAAAGACTTTTTTTATCCTTAGGTGGAGAGTACTGTATCTTTTAAATACCTTTCTTATTCCCCTCTCCCCCAACCTTATTAAATTCCTTAAAGGAACAGACCATCTTTGTTCCTATGCTGCAATCTGAAGATCCATGAATAAAGCAGGCACCCAGTAAATACTTGCTAATTTGTGTATTTGACCAACTCTTGACAATTCAATATAACAGACTCAAATATCAAGTTAGTTATAGTTTAAAACAAAACCTTTGTGTGCCCTAGTGAACAATGTAAACACAAATAGCAGAATCCCAAATCTTCTAATCATTGTGTTGCCCTAAATACAAAAGGGTCTCATAGGCCGAATACAGTTCATAAACCAAAATCTCACGTGAGTTACCTTCTCTCTTTCTCTCTATCCACCTTCTAAGTCCATAAAAAATTGAAAACATTCTGAAAAGAACTCTCTCCTGCCTGAGAAAAAATACACCACACATTTAGAACCAAAAGCTTGCCATAAGGGGGCAAAGAGTGAAAAACTCTCATTTCTAATACTTTATTAGAATTCCAAGAACTACGCAAATTCAAACATGTCAAAGCGCCTGTTTCTCCATCGATAAAATGCAGAAAGAAAAACGTGTGTGTGTAGTAGAACCTCACCTAATGGGATAATTAAAATCAGAAAAAGCTAAATACTACTACTGATTAAAAGTTGCCTTGTCATTTGTCTTGCCAGTTGATCTCTTTAAAGTACCTAATCAATCGCTGCAGTCCGCAAACGGCAGTTCCTTCCCATTGGTTACCACAGAAAGTTCTTTCCTGACCTCAAATTGCCTAGTACGTTTCAGCCTCGATGCCTGGTTGGAACCCACAGTTTACCAATATCTGGGGATTGAAAGGACAGGCCAGTGCTGGGGAAATGCTCAAACAGCCTACTCAACACTACCCTCTGGATTCAACCGTCCTCCCAATCCCACAACCAACACAGAGCATTTCAAAAGTGCTTCGCATTCCCAAGAATCCCTCAGATGCAAACGGAGAAACTGAAAAGGGGGTGAACAGGTCGCACCCTGAGGATAATGCCGAGAACCCTAGCATCCCCAAAAGCCCACAAGAGGAAGTCGCGGGAGCTCACAAATTGAGGGGGATTCTCGCATTGTGGAGTTCTAGGGGTAAGTAGCAGGGAACTTTTTTAAAAAGAAAGCAAAAAGATAAAAAGAACAGAACCTCAGATTTTTGTTATTTAAAGAGGCAGCCCCACTTCCGGATCCTACCTCTCCGTGACTCTACTTCCGGTATCTTCCAAAACGCCCGCTTTCACAGATCAAGGTTTTGCAACCAATGAGAGTATCAGCTACTTCCGCCGGCCTGCGGGACGTGATCTAAATCCCGCCTTTTCCGGTGGAGAGGAGCCTATCCTAGTGTCTTAACCGCCCGTCTTGGTAGGCGGTGCCGTGACAAGCCCAACCGGACGGCTGGAGAGGGCGAGAAGGGCAGACGGGACATGCAGCCTCTTCCGCCTGAGCCCCGGAAGGGTGATGTGGCTGCGGCATCGCCGGCCTCGCTATGGTAAGAAGTGGGGCTCCCAGGTCGCGGTTGATCTTCGAGAAGGGGTTGTGGATCTAGACTAGGGCTGGAGTTTGTGCGGCAGCCCGGGGTGTGTGGGCCCGGAGCTGAGAGGCCTTGGAGCCATGTGGTCCCTCCACGGCCAACCAGAGAGAATCAGGACGGACTGTCCGAGGAAGACTGCTGGGTCGGCAGCCCGCCCCTCATGCAAAGTCCGCTTTCCTACTTTGTTTAGGAAAAAAAAATGCGTTGGTGTGTTTTAACACGTTGGCTACGTAGATTATGTGTGGTCATTGACCCTTTGAAGCATTAGCGCTTCTCGAGTTTCCGCTTGTTTTGTTGCAACTCCTTATCTCGCCCTAGGGGCTTTACTCTGGTGTTATTGTTTGATTTTTGGGGGGAGTTTCTTTTGGCACCAAACTCCATACCTTCATTTTCATCTGTTTAGTCAGTAGCCTCTCAAGACCCTTCCACCTTCTTCTCTTAACTTTGAAAATGCTGCTTTACAAGCTATAGGTTTTAATAGTTAAGAGTTCTCTGCAAAGGTGGATTGCCCTTCTAGGAGCTTAATGTACTTATTGGAGTGGTGTCTAGCCTCAGGCCTTCCTCCTCTTTTACCTCCAGGTCCATGTGCCAAATGTTATGTATATTTCTGGACAAAGGATGCATGCCTGCAAATAGACCCAAAAACAACTATGACTCCAAAAAGCTTGAGTCTCCATGGTGAAAAATTATGAGCCTATGTTCACAGAAGTTGCTGCAGAATCCCATATAGCAATAATTCATTTTCTTCTCTGGACGAATTTACCACCTGGTGGGAAGATGGCAGTTGAGACTAGGAAGACTGCCACTCTTAATTCTTATACATCTTTCTAGAAACTGAAGTTGAATTCTTCTACTCGTAGTGCAAGTCAAAGATAACTCTTTTTATTATCTCACTGTCAGACTAGCTAAAAATAAGATGCATATACTGTGCTTAAGATCAACAGTATATAAACTATCTTGTCATGCTTGTTTTTCCAAAAGTAGCAAATGCTTTCATTTATTATCACGTCCTATGTACCAGGCTCTTTTCAAAAAATCAGTTTATAAGCATGGAAATATCAAGTTCACAGCAACTTCTGAATAGATGTTTACAAGTGAAAGAAGTGAAACATGAAGAGACTGACTTGCCTCGGATCACACCTAGTAGATTGTAAAGCCAGTACTCAAACTTATTTTAATGTCCAGGTCCCCGAAATCTTCATGCTGTTATCGATAGAAACACAACATAACTAAGGATGAAATAAGACTTAGTGATTTGTTTCTTATAAATATAAGTACATAAATTAGACATAGGTGGAAAACGGAAACAACTGGCAGGTGGTTTTTTATTCCTGTGAGCTTGGGATGTCAAAAGTACATTGTTTGCAGAGCTACGAAGTGAGGTTTCAAGAAGGCTAACTTAGCAGCTTAAGAAATGGATTAGTGTCTCAGTATCTTTGAGTTCGCATCTAAACTTAGTTTATTTGTGAGGTAACCCAATGGTAATGACTTAATAAACCTGAATTACTGTATTTTAATGATTTTTTTTTTTTTTGAGATGGAGTCTCCCTCTGTTGCCCAGGCTGGAGTGCAGTGGCATAATCTCAGCTCACTGCAACCTCTGCTTCCTGGGTTCAAGCAATTCTCCTGCCTCAGCCTCCCGAGTAGCTGGGACTACAGGCGTGCACAACCACGCCTGGCTAATTTTTGTATTTTTAGTAGAGACGAGGTTTCACCATGTTGGCCAAGATGGTCTCGATCTCTTGACCTCGTGATCCTCCCACCTCAGCCTCCCAAAGTGCTGGGATTACAGGCGTGAGCCACCGTCCCCAGCCAAGAATCTTTTTAAAAAGCATTTCAAGGATAAAATGTTTATCAGCAGTAATAATTTACAACTGTCAGCATGAACAGTAATTGTAGCACTTGTGAATTAATACTTTTAAAGAATTTCAGAATGCCTTGTTCCCCCCAACACCTAACATCCTTCAACATTTCTCTCATGTCTCATCTCTTTCCAAAAAGCCTCCCTTAACCCCTTCTATTTTCTTCTACTCTCTTTAGGTATCTATAGGGATATTCCTAGTTCATATGTATACTTCCAGTATCCCTCTAGCATAACCCTTTTCACAGAAAACAGCAATAAGGTGTTGCCTGCATTTCTCCCTCTCTAGGCAGAATTCTTAAAGACTAGGTATTTTAATCTCTACAGTCACAGTGCCAGCTGGAGTTATTACTCCATTAAGAGTCTGGGCCTGTAATCTCAGCACTTTGGGAGGCCAAGGTGGGTAGATCAACTGAGGTCGGGAGTTGGAGACCAGCCTGACCAGTGTGGAGAAACCCCATCTCTACTAAAAATAAAAAATTAGCCGGGCGTGGTGGCACATGCCTGTAATCCCAGCTACTTGGGAGGCTGAGGCAGGAGAATCACTTGAACCCAGGAGGTGGAGGTTGCGGTGTGTCGAGATTGTGCCATTGCACTCCAGCCTGGACAACAAGAGCGAAACTCCATCTCAAAAAAAAAAAAAGAGTCTGGGGATACAAACATGCTCAGTGTCTTCAAGGATTTCACAGTCCAGTGGGGGAAATTATTAAATAAGTAAATTCCATCTGTTGTCTGCTATGTTGTAGCAAGACAACACATGTAGTAGAGAGAGCATGGGTTTAGACTGAGCCAAACAGAGTTAGAATCATTTCCAGTTCCGAACCTTTACTTGGTTAACTCTAAGGGAGTTTATTTTCATGTCTTTTTCTTGGTGCACTAAATGATTTTCACAAACTCTGCAAAGCAGGAATGATTGCCCACATTTCATAATTAAACTGAGTCTCCAGAGAATAGATGTGAAGTATTTTCTCTCCTCTTATAGCAGAAGATATGTAGAAAATCATTAAACACAGTGGAAGGAGTAGTACTGGCTGGGAACTGCTTGAGAGATGTCCCCAAGAAAGAAGTAATTCTCTCTCACCTGTACTTTAAAGAGTATTAGGGAAGGAGTCATTAGCTAGAGGTGGGACAGCAATCTCTATCCCGTAGATAAAGGAAATGGCAGTTATGGGAACAAAAGGCATGAAGTTCAATAGTTGCATGGAGCCTTAATGTGGCAGGAATAAAAAGAAGTCAAGTATAGTGGACTGGTGATAGATGAGGCTAGAAAGATTGGGGCCAGATTTTGAAGAGCTTTGTGCCATGCCAAAGACTTTATATTTTGATGATGTTTAATTGCTTACTTGATAAAGGCTTTGGAGCAGGGAAATAAAAGGTGTGCATTTTAGAAAACCAACTGGTAACAACATAGAGTATATTTAAATGGAGGAAGATTAGAATCTGGGAGACCAGCTTGAAAACAAGTGCTGTAGTTCAGGTATACAATGATTGAATGTCTCAACTCTGATGAGCAGTTGGGTTGAAAGGAAAGGAAAACTAGGAAAATCGTTTTGAAGATACTTAATGAAGGGTGATGAAGCACAGCTCCAGCTTGGATGATTTATTGGATGGGAAAGAAATACAGCAGATCCTCAATAACGTGTATGAGGAAGAAACTCCATTCCCAATTGCACGTTGTCTTCATGTCTGTTCTTCCCATGTCTGCATGGATTTTCTCTTGGTACTCCAGTTCCCTTCTACATCCCAGAGATATATACAATGGGTTTGTTGAGGTGTCTACACTCTCCCAGTTTGAGTGCTCTGCACTGGAATGATGTCCTATACTCCAGGCTACTGGGATGGCTCCCGGCACCGTCAACACTGAACTGAAATAGCAAATAGCCAGCTATCTTACTTGTTTTTATTAATCTTTCTTAAGTGGATGTATAACTCACATTTACTTCAGTGTTGAATATTAGAAGGGTTTTGATATTGATTTGGAAGTTTGGTGATGCTTTTGTGACTAGAAATATGCCATCGGAACTTAACTCTTGTTTATATCAATTCGCCTATGGTAAATTTTTTTTGTTATATATCTTTTGGCTTAAAGTTGCATTTTCCAAGGACCTGTGGATGACGTTAAGTGAGGGCTTACTGTTTTCGTTAAGCACCTACTCTGACAGGTGTTTTATTTTACATACAAGGTTTTATTAAAGTCGTATTATTGGCCACATTTTTCATATGAAGAAACAGATGCGGAGAGCCAAGTGTCTTGCCCAACATCACACTGCTTATAAATAGCAGAGCTAAGATTTAAACGGAACCAATTTGTCACGAAATGCTGTGCCCTTTCAACTATGCAACAATACCATTAATTGCACAAAAATATTAAGAAAAGCAAATTTTTTATGTCAGGAGTGGGTGAGGAGGTAGCAGTTCAGATAATTCTGTTGCTAATATTGCTTTTGCATCATCCATGAAAATGGCATCACAGTTAAAAGGCAAGTATCTTAGTATTATAAAAATAGTTCTGATCTTATGAACCCATGAAAGGGTTCCATGAACCACACCTTTGATAACCACTTCATTAGGCTAATAGGAATCTGATGTGGGTGCTGATCTTCTCTAGCAAAGCTTTTGAATACTGATTGCAAAGAAAAACTTCCAGGAGGCTGAGGCAGGCATTCGAGACTAGCCTGACCAACATGGTGAAACCCCATTTCTACTAAAAATACAAAAAAAACTAGCCGGGCTTGGTGGCGTGCACCTGTAGTCCCAGCTGCTCGGGAGGCTGAGGCAGGATAATTGCTTGAACCCAAGGGGTGGAGGTTGCAATGAGCCGAGATCATGCCACTGCACTCCAGTCTGGGCAACAGAGTGAGACTCCATCTCAAAAAAAAGCTTTCAGGGAATTTTAAGAAACTGTAGGTGCCCAGACCAGTTAAATCCAAATTTCTGGGCAATGATGGCTTTTTAAGCTCCAAGTGGTTCTAATAAGCAGTTAGATTTCATACCATATGATAGGACATTTTATCAGTTTTTGTTTTTTTCTTGATTGCAAGGTCAGAGGACTTTACAGCAGGCTTTGCTCTTTTCCTTCAGAATACTGTCTCTTGTCCAACCTTTTTATCAAAGACATATATGGAGCATTTATTCTAATTTTTTTTCACTCTACCATTTATCATTGTTTTGCGTATGCCTTCTCTAACTCTTGACACCCTTTTGCCTTATCTTTAGATCTGAGGTTTATATAAAATAGCTCCAAAACAAAGCAGCACAAACAGCAAATTAATTGTAGGTACCATGATAATGAGATGAAAATAACTACAAAATCAGTGTTGCCAGTGGAAAACAGAGTTCAAGCGCTTCTACTCTGTACTGTAGTTTTACTCATCATATCCATGAAAGTTGTTAAATGGAAAGTATTAAGTAGAAAATGTCTCTGTACATTTTTAAAATATGACTGGTGAGAACAAATGGTTGTTTAATCCAGCCCCCACATTTTACAAATGAAATGAAACTGACAAGTGGAGATGTGAGATGTTGATTCACCTAAGGTCAAATTTTTATACTTGGATTACTTCATTAACCCAAATATTTTGTGGCCACTGTTGCTGAGAAGAGATGGGTGATGGGTTCATATCTAAATATTAATCAAGCCTGATTTCTTGCTCTCAAATTAAACTGAGGTTACTTGCCTATTTGGTGCAATATCATCACCCTACCACGTGATAAGCAACAAAGTTTAAATTTATACGCTAATAATGCCAAAAGAAAATGTTGATAATTTTTATGTATTAGTGGAAATCTTTTCAACCAATTCTGGTCACTTTTTTTGGGCAAATTATATATATGTGTGTTTGTGCATTCATATGCAGGCTAACATTCTTGCATTTTCATGTTTTGCATTTTAAGAGACTAGTTGGAAAATGCTGACCTGACCTAGATTTTCTGAATGATAAATGCTGACCCACTTTTCTAATGCTGAATAATTTTGATCACAATTAGGTCAGGAGTGTCATTTCTGTGTTCCCTTCCACCCCCAAAAAGGGATAAACTAGTTTCATGTAAAAGAAGTAAGTATTAATACAAGTAAAATTGTTACTATTTGGAGTTTTTAAATGTTGTCTTTTATATTAATTTTTGTTTTAAAGCTGGAGGAATTAGTATGTCAGTAAAAATTTATTCCCCATATAGGAGGCAGTCAACATTTGAAGCTTCAACACAGTGTTATGTATAAATAAGCCCCTTAATCAACAAATTTGCTAAACAATTTGTTTAGTGCCCAAGTGATCCAAGACTAATAAAAGTACTGTAGATTTAGTCACCCCTTTCTGCAGATTAAGTATGCTTAATAACCAGTCATTAAGCACTCTAGCCACAGCTTGTTTAGCATATTGATGTGTATATTTCTTCTGCTTTTCTCATTGTTTCTTTCTTTTTGCATTTTTATATTGCTTGGATAATTCCTTTTTTCCTTCTTCTATTCCTAATGTTTTCAGTGGTTTCTTTTTAAGATTTCTTATTTGAAAGTTTTGTTAATAAATACCTTGAGCTCTTAGACTTAGAAGTATTTTATTCGTCTTTTTTAAAAATCTCCTATATTGAATTCTTACTTATAATCAGAGTTAATGAATATAATTTTAGTGTTCAGAAATGACTCTGAAAATGAGAAATTTCATCTTAATAAATAAAATGATTTTAAAAATCTAAAAACTAATTTTTCAAATAGACTTGAAAATAGAACATTTTTTAGAGGTTTGTCAACATTGTAAGTAATTTCATGTCTAGACCCCTTCCTTAGCTTTGTATTGACCTTGCATCTATTCATTGATTAATTATTGCATCTCCTGTAGTGGTGGCCAAATAAAGTCTGTGAATTATTTTTATTATTTCAAAACACCTAACCAAATGTGATTTACTTCAAAATGATCAAATAAAGTAACTGACTCAAGTTTATATCCTTCCGGTTTGGGTAAATTAACTCAGTTCAATAACACTAGTTGTTTCAAGCATATCAAAAGATCTTATTGATTATGAGTTGTCAGATAAGTCTACAATGCAGAGGGTTAGTAAAAGAGCCCTTGATGACAAATCGTTTGGAGGCCTCCATTGCCATGTTTTAGAAGAATGACATAGCTCTCAGAGTAATGGTCAAGATAACCTGCGTACTCAGTCTTACAGAACCTGCGTACTCAGTCGTACAGATCTTTTGAAAGTGTATATCTCTTAAGAATTAAAAGAAGTCAGAAGAACACACACTTTCCAGTGTGCAAGCACCTTCAAAGCTTGCTGCTTGATAGAATAGAAAATCTGAATTCCAGGAGGTGATAGAAGATGTGGATACTGAATGGAAATTACCTCAGGTCTTTATTTTACCCTACAGCCTAGGTCCTTAACATAAATATAAGGAAATTTGCATCTTTCTACTTGATTTTCCAAAATATTCTTGAGAAGTAAGCATATATGCAAAGCCATACATGGAGGTTTCTCTTGAAGAGTTAACAAAATACTGTATTCAGCAATCTGATCTACACTGGTTTTTGAATGTGTATTTTTTCTTTGGAATCCAAGTATGCTCTTGGATTTGTTAAAATGTTCATTATTGCCAGTTGCGTTCAAGTTCCTGTTCATTTGACACTTTTCAGTGACTTCTCTGTGTACTATATTTTAATAGTCACAGGGGATTGATGAAAACCTCAATAGAATAGACAATCACAGTACAGTATGATGTGTTCTATAACATACACATTGTTATGTGTATGTATTATGCACATACAAAAATCCTGACTCTGCTTGGTATAGTGAGTGGGAACAGGAAAGACATCAGAGGAGGTGAATCTTGAGTTGAGATTGGACGCATGAGTCAGTTCACCAAGCAGGCAAGAACAGATAGCATGTGCAAAACTCAATAGAGTACCTTGGAAAAGGTTTCATGACTTAAAGGCCCTGAAAAAAATTAAACAAGGTAAATGAATTTGACTTACCACCTTTTAATCATCTTTTCCTCTGTTTTGTGATTAAATATGCTTACCTTTTCTTAGATTCCTCCTTTCCCTTTTAATAACATTTTTCTGTTGAAAATTGCAATTATTTTTTCACTGAAGAGGAACATCTGTTTCCTTTAACCCTGAGACTAAAATTTTATGTCACCAGACAACAGATGCTAAGCATTAAGGGGAATGCTATAGGTGGCAGGCTAATGTCCGTAAGTTAGAAACACACTTTTGACCAGAGTCTGAGTACATCTAAAAGACTTACCACCTAAGATTATTTGTTTTAAACTTTAGAGGCTTTAAACCCCCAGAACAAAGTTGTATATATCATATATTTCATACTTGTAAATGGTTTTCTTTTGTAAATGGCTTCACACACAAACGTATATACACACTCTACTTTCCTAATAGGCATGTTTTTAAGTGCCTTTTTATCTTCTATTATGAAAACATTCAAACATAAAGAGGTAGAAGCCTATAATGAACCCTCATATTCTCAGCATTTTATCATCAACCCTACCCCTCTCCCACCACACATGCACTGGATTATTTAGAAACCAATCCTGAACATTATATCATTTAAGCATGTTTTCTTTAAAAACACATTTGGAGAAGGAAAGAGAACACATTACAAAGTCATGAATTTAGATACTGCATTAGGAAAATGATAAACCTACTTTGAAGATTTGTTTTCCAACCATTTTACTGTAGGAATCTTTTGCTTAAAATACAGTAAGATTCTCATTATTCCCTGAACGTGCCAATGACTTTTTCTGTAGGGTTTTTTTCCCACATTTTTTTTTCTCTTCTGGAGCTTGCTATTTGCCCATCTGAATGGTGCCCTTTCAAGGTTTGACTCCGTTCCTGCTTTCTACATGAAGCTTTTCCTGACTTTTTCTTACAAAAATGGCATTTTTTGTCTGCATAACTCACTTCCACATTCAACAATGAGTTACTATTTACTTTTTAAAGTACATGCTCTGTTTTCACTTGATTACTTGATTATAACTGCTGTGTGCCTCAGTCTCATGTATAAAATACAGGTAATAACAATCATGAATAAAATTCAGGTAATATTTACCCCAGATACATGAGGATAACATAAAACAAGTACTCAGTGAATATCAGTAATTGCTATTGTTAGCCATAAACTCCTGTAGGGAAGGAATCATACCATGTGCCTTTTTTTTAATCCCCACTGCCTCATTTCTCAGACAAAGTGGATACCAAATACACATTTAGTTATGTTGGGAGGAAATCTGCTTTATTTTCTATGAGGTCATTATCCAATATTATTTATTAATATATTCACATACATATTCAAAATATGACCTTTGAAAGATAAGCATTGTGAGATACCATGCTTTTTATCTACAATTGATCATGAGCTAATTCATTGATTTATGTTATAAAATGTGTATCACTGGCTTTCACAGGTTTAAGATTAAAACCCAATTTAATTAAAACCCAAGATACATTAAATTTTATCTTTGTTATATCTATGAAAAAATAATGCATAGAAAAACAAGTATTAAACTGGTAATTACAAATCATTTTTGTCTTTTTCAGACCATAAAAGTGTCACTTAGACAATTTGAGAAATCTAGAAAAGTTGAGAATTAGATTAAAAACTATCTAGAGATGGCTCACGCCTGTAATCCCAGCACTTTAGGAGGCCAAGGTGGGCAGATCGCTTGAGATCAAGAGTTTGAGTCCAGCCTGGCCAACACAGCGAAACCCTGTCTCTACTAAAAAAAAAAAAATACAAAATTTAGCCAGGCGTAGTGGAGCATGACTGTAATCCTAGCTACTGGGGAGACTGAGGCAGGAGAATCACTTGAACCCACGAGGTGGAGGTTGCAGTGAGCCAAGATCCCACCACTGCACTTCAGCCTGGGCAGTAGAGCAAGACTCTGTCCCTCCACCCCCCACCAAAAAACTATCCACAGATAATCACAGCATTTTCACACTTTCTTTGCATAAAAGTTTACATACCTTAAGATGTGCTGTCTGAAATCTTTGATCCCCTTTTGCCTACTGCTTAGCATTGTGCATAAGCACTTTTTGTCCTTGAGAATATTGGTAAATAATGTATATAGTTTTTTAATTTTTTCAGTAGTTTGCATGTATTTATCATAAAAATATAGAAAAGATTCAAATGACATTGGAACAGTTTCTAGTGTCCATTTTTTTGTTTTTAAGATTCTCCTGGCTATTCTTGCCTTATTTTTTCCATATGAACTTCAGAATTAGTTGTCTGTTTAAAAGATAACTTGTTGGTATTGGGTTCACTTTAAATTTATAGGTTGTCTTTACAATGTTGCCTTCCAATATAAAAATCTGGCATACCAGGTTTCTTAATCCATGTTATGTTGCTATTTAAAAAAAAACTGAAATTGGGTAATTGGTTAAGAAAAAAGGGTCACTTAGCTCTCAGTTGTGCAGGCTAAGAGTAGTAGGGCTTGGCCCTCCTGGGAAGGGCTTTTATGTTGCATCACAACATGGCTGAGAAGGTCAAAGGGGAAACAGACCTGGTGAAAAGGAGGGAGGAGCATCATGGCTTTATAACAACGTGCTCTCTCCGGAAAGAATTCATTTCTTGGAAAACTAATCCAGTCTTGTGAGATCTCACTAATGAGAAGAGCACCCTGACATTCATGGGAGATCTACCCCCCACCACCCCGTCCCCAAACCCAAACACCTCCCACTAGGCCCCACTTCCCAACACTACCTTACTGGGGATCAAATTTCAATCTGAGCTTTGGTAGGGATGAAAAACCATTTCTAAACCATAGCAACAGTCTCTTCTACTTTTATGTTCTTCCATATGTTTTAAGATTTTGTCAGTTTTTTTCTTTGATGCCAATGTTGCACATTTCTTGTTAAGCTTATTCCTAGATATTTTAGCTGTTCGTTCTGGATGCTATCTTTTTTCCATTGTCTTTCTCCTGAATGATAATATGATTATGAAGGCTATTGATTTATATATTTTAATTATGTACCCAGCCACCTTACTCAATTTCCTTAAGATCTATAACTGTTTTTCACTAAATTCTTTAGGACTTTTCAAGTAAGCACTCAGCCGCAAGTACCAATTTTGTGTAACTAAGTTTTCTCATGAGTCATTCTTTGTTTCATTCCTGATTTTTTTGTTTGTTTTTTAGAAGGTGCCTCTAAGTTTACTAAACAAGCATATTGCTGGCTGTTGTGTGAGATTGACATATTTTATCTCCCTGTATATGATGAAAATGTTATTCTTTGTTATATATACACAGTAATATTCTTGCACTTTCTTAATTTCATTTTATTTTTTTCAACTCTCTCTTATTGGGCTTCTAGTGTGAGACAGGCATATGATTGGTGCTGGAGATTCAGAGTCTGATAATCTGATAACAATGTCTACCCTTCAGAAATGAATATTATAATAAAGGTAACAGTTTGCTATGAGACTAGAAAAGAGAGTTCTACATAAAATAAGAGAAGGGAGGCAGATGGATTCAAGGAAACTTCCTTAAAAAGGTGATGCTAGAGCTGAATTTTGAATAGAATAAGTCCACCTCCATTTACTTTAACTGGAAACCTATGATTTTGTTTGACTGTGGAAACTTATGAAACTTATGGTTTCTTATGACTCTTGTGTTAAATTTTAACTTTGGAATAAGACTCAAACTATTAAATACAAGCTAAGTATCTTTTTTCCAAAATGCTTGGAGCCAGGAGTGTTTTGGATTTCAAATTTTTGGTGGGATTTTGGAATAATTGCATTATACTTACTCGTTGAGCATCTCTAATCAGAAATCCAAAATGCTCCAATGAACATTTTTTTTTTAGCATCATTTTGGCACTCAAAAAATTTTGATTTTGGAACATTTTGGATTTTGGATTAGAGATGTTCAACCTGTAATGAATAACTTTTAAAAATCCAACAGTGAAAGTACAGGTGCTTGCTTTCTTTCTCCAAAATCTATTAGCCTAGTATTTGTCAACTCATGGAAAATTATAGCTTAAATTTAAAGGATGTTTATCCTTAAAAAAATTCAGAATTAAAAGAAACTTAGCTAGCATTTAAGTCTGTCTGCCCATTCTCCGCCCAGCCAAAGACTTAGAAAAGCTAGTAATTCTGCTAAGGCCATAAAACCAGCTATTGGCAGAGCTTGAAGACTGTAGAAGACCTCAAGATTCTGGTTTTAAGTGTTGCCAGACTTGTCATTCTGCTTGCCTTCTTGAAGAAATAAAAACATGACTCTAAATGTGGAATTGTCAAACATTTTTTACCTATGCAGTTTTTCTTGATATTAATTTTTCTTTTTTTTTTTTCTTTTTAGTCTGCCATTTTCAATTTTCAGAGTCTATTGACTGTAATCTTGCTGCTTATATGTACCTGTGCTTATATTCGATCCTTGGCACCCAGCCTCCTGGACAGAAATAAAACTGGGTATGTTACTAATGATGTCTAATCACCCAAATTAGTTCTTACAAATGTTCAATGTAAGTTAACATATAAATTATTAGATAATTTAATTCCTACATGTAATTTGGTTTTATAATAACTTTTTTCATTTTCTTCCTGTTAAAAATTCAAAAACTTTATATTCACAATATCTTACTAAATTAAAAGGTAAATTTCAGAAGTGACCTAAAATGTGTTAAGAGTAAAAAATCGCATGAGGGATTTAACCTACTGAAGGTGAAAATAGATGTTAGTTGTCCATCAGTTTTTATGATAATACTCCATCTCCTTGTAGACACTGTCTTCTCTTCATTCCACCTTTTTCAGTAAAGTCCTGTTGAATTTATTCTTCAGTATTCACCCATTTGTTGAAATTACGTTATTTGTTGCTTGGCTGTGCATGAAGTCTTTCTATCCAAGTAGACAGTTTCATTGTATCTTTCCCTTCTGTACCCGCCAACTGTAAACTTAGAATTAAAGCATATGGTAGACTCTAGTAAACACTTATTCCTATTGATGACTTTATTGGAATTCTAATATAATGCATAATGTCCATCTAAGATATTTAAGTGTTTATCTCATTAAAGAATAATTACATAGTAGTAGAATACTTTCCCTATGCTATCACGAAAATTCTTCTTCAAAAGCAAGTAGGTTGCATGTGGAAATGTCTGCTTCTCATTCCTTGGGAGCAGGAATATGTTCATAACATGCTACATTAACAAAGGAGTTCTCAGGGCTGCCAACCTTCTAGTAAAGGTTGAGTGGTAGTATATTTCTCCAACATAAAAGACCAAAAAGAGCATGCCTATTTTTACATTTTAAAATATGTACTAATACAGTCAACTGTTTGAAAGCTTTTTTTAAAACCTTTATTTCTACTTATATACGTGTTAAGCACCATTTTATGTTGATTTATAACTAAGAATTATTTTGTATAGAAAATTTTATAGGCCTAGTCTCTTTCTGTTAAAATTACATGTTTTTATGAGACTCGTAATCTTTTATTATACTGAGAATATATACCATGCTTAGGTGGAGATATCTAGACAGATTGGATAAAGCAAGTTCTTGATGACTTCACTGTTTAAAATAACTTCAGTTTTTGCTACTTCAAATAATATAGAACTAAGCAGCAGAAAAAAAGATTACTACATGGTCTTTATCCTGGTTTCATAGACCTGATAGCATTATCAGCAAATATACTTATTGGTATTTAGCCATAATAACTAAGCAACGTAATTACATTTTTTAAATCAACTAACAGGGTTCGTGTGTGTGTGTGTGTGCATGTGTAAGTAAAATTGGGGTATTACAGAAATATATCTAGGTAGAGAAATATGTGGAAAAAACCAAAGTGGTGCTGCTAAGTCTCTGAGTTACCAAGTTAGGGTTCTTTACTCATTTATAAAAGCTGTTAATATGTTAATCCTGTTGTACCAGTTTCTTAATGATATTTTGTTACTTCTAGAATATTAGACCCAAAAAGACCTTGAGTTTGTGATCTTGTGGTTTTCAGTGGGTTCTAGAATGAAGGAGCCATGGCTTTGCAAATGCCTAACCTATTCCATTGTTTGATGAAGAAATGTTAGCCAATTTTAAGTGATACCTAGAGTTATCACATGTATCCTTAGCCTATATATGAACACAGTACATCTAAGTCACCATTCTAAGGACTTTCCGTGTAATCACTCATTTCATCCTCATAACAACCCTTTGAGGGTGGGTCCTTTTGTTAAAGAGATACAATACCTTGCTCACAGTTACGCAACCAGTGAGTAGGATTTAATTTAAGCATAATTTGGCCTTTATTTTAGCTTATTTTCAGGAATGTATATGGGCTTTGTCATTTTATTTCTATGGTAAAATTGTTTAGCCTGTCAGAATATTCATACTTTGAAATAAACTCATGTTTTTGCTTAATTCCATTTAATCTAAACTATGTATATTCCAGTTCATAGCAGTTTCTATACATTGATGGTTGATAGGCTAAGAGACCTTTTGCTTTGAGGTCAGGAAGTTATACTTCAGAGGAGGAACATATATAGAACTTAACTGAACCAGAATTTTCTGTTAGTCTTACCCATTCAGATGTAATGATTCACTAGCCAGCCATCTCTTTTGGTAAAAAAAAAAAAAAAAGTATACTATAAATTTTTCTGGAATTTAAGTATTCTGATTTTCTTGAGATAATAATTCGAATTTACGTAACATAATATTAATTTATCTTAATTTGCAACCATATGTGACACTATTTATAATTCTTTTACTTTGTCAGACCAACTAAGTAGTGTCCTTAGTGTTATTTTTTAAGATATCTCTATTCATTGATGATTCGGTCTTTTTTTAAAGATGATTTGTTATACATGCCAAATAAGTGATTACTCCATATAATATGTAATTCATAATATATTCATTCATACAGTTGAAATATATATCTCCATTCTAATACTTATTCCCAGAGTATGTGCTTTAAATGCCATATTTAGTGAATTCACATAGAGTGTCCTTTAAACTAGAAGATTTTCTACTTATATTGAAAATATAGGCACATTTTTAATTCTTTCTTAGTAAATGACACAGATAAGTAAATACCATCATTGGAATTCATTATTATAGATTATTTAACTTTAGAGCTACATTCTGTAAGAAATTAAAGTTTATTATAAGAGTGTTTTTGGTGTCACATTCAACCAAAAAATGTTCATTTAACATTTTATCAAAATTGATGCTTAAATTGCCATATACATTTTCTGCTTTTGAAAGTAGAGTAAATCAACTGAATAGTAAGCCCTTATGCAAATTTTTGCCACTCTCACTAATTTGCCCTGGATTTGACCTATGACACTATTTATATTCCATTTCATAGCAGTTTCTGTACATTGATGGTTGATATGTCATTGTGTCCTACTTTCATACATGAATGGTGGCTCAACATCAAATAAGGAGATTTCAAATTTGAAGCAAAGTGTTAAAGGTTAATATGTTAATATACAATTAATTCCCTATATGATATCAAGAGAATAATTTACCTTTCCGAGTAATCAATAGCTACTTTTTTTCTTTTTTTATTCTATGCAGATTGTTGGGTATATTTTGGAAGTGTGCCAGAATTGGTAAGTGTCTATAATCTCCCTCCATTTCTTCAGCTGTAAATTGTTGACCAATTTACTTAGGTTATAATCTCACAAGTCAAATGTTAATTTTTAAAGGGCAGGCTTCCCAATTTTATGCATTTTCGCAAAAGTTTATAAGTTGTACCAAGCTCTTTTCCTTATGCTATTTAAAACCACATTTGGGCCAGGCGTGGTGGCTCACGCCTGTAGTCCCAGCACTTTTTGAGGCCAAGGCAGGAGGATTACCTGAGGTCAGGAGTTTGAGACCAGTCTGGCCAACATGATGAAACCCTGTCTCTACTAAAAGTTAGCTGGGCATGCACACCTGTAATCCCAGCTACTCAGGAGGCTGAGGCAGAAGGATCTCTTGAACCCGAGAGGCGAAGGTTGCAGTGAGCCAGATCACACCACTGTGCCCCATCCTGGGCGACAGAGTGAGACTCTGTCTCAAAATAAAAAAAGAATAAAACTAGATTTGGTGGCTACTTCATTAACACAGAGACAGAAAATCTTTCTAATTTAGATATCAAATACCATGCATTCTTGGTATTGGGGGAAATAAATGTATGTGGTTTTATGCACACATGTTGATAGTATAGAAGTATAGAGCATGCTGTTGTGTATAATGTATACCATTTTGATAACTAGGATGTATTCCCATCTAATGAAAGTCTTTCTGAGCAGCTATCTGAACATAATCACTTTATTGCCCTATTTAAATAACAGAATGTTTAACTGTTTTGTCTATTGAACCCATGTGGTCATAGCCGAACTGTTTGACTCGAGTTAAAGTACTACACTTGATCTTAGCTAAAAGGCCAAGAAGCAATTAAAGTTAAGGTAGATGTGGTTGTCTTACAACTTTCCATGATAAGAGATTAGTAGCATCATACATGTTTTTATAGTTAATAATATACTCCTATCCATTCACCCTGTATATGTAACATTTAACACGGTACCCAGCACATAGTAGACTCTCAAATGATTAAGTGAATCAATTAACATGTATTTTATTGCATCATTCATCAGTATTTTTTTTTTTTTTGGAGATGGAGTCTTGCAGTGTTGCCCAGGCTGGAGTGCAGTGGCACGATCTCCGCTCACTGCAAGCTCCGCCTCCCAGGTTCAAGTGTTTCTCCTGCCTCAGTCTCCCGAGTAGCTGGGATTACAGGCACCCACCACCACGCCCAGCTAATTTTTTGTATTTTTAGTAGAGACAGGGTTTCACTATGTCGGCCAGGCTGCTCTCCAACTCCTGACCTTGTGATCCGCCCGCCTCGGCCTCCCAAAGTGCTGGGATTACAGGCATGAGCCACTGTGCCCAGCCATTCATCAGTATTCTTGAATAATAAATTACACCCTTTTTTAACCTTTTTAATTAAAAAAAAAAAAAGACTCCAGACATTTGTACATATACCACTTGGACTGAAATTGAATATTTCTTATCTGTCCTCTTTGGAATCATTTGTATAACCAAAGAAAAATTCTTTTGTTTAGTACTCTTCTTCTAACTTTGAATTTATGCTTAACTACTTTTCTTTCATAAAGCTGTTAGACATTTATAATGAAAAATATTTTTTCTACGTTTGACATTTATTGTTAGCCAGTCTGACAACAGCCTAAATTCTCTCAACTAATCCCTTTTAATAGGATAGAGAATTGAAGAGGCATCTCCATTAGATAAACTGTGTTCCCTTTAGAGTATTGTGTTTTATTTTGGCTTTCAACTTCTCAGAGATGTGGAAAATTTAGAGGATGGTCCATAAAGGAAACAAACTTCATGAGATTGAAAAATACAAACTGTATAGTTTGAAGTCAGGTACTCAATGGGTGCAGCTATTCTTCCTCAGTGTTCTGTCATACTTTGTTCTCTCTTACGGTGATAGGTCTAAGAGTCTTTCTTTTGTAATAAGTATCATTACCTTAAACTGGTAAAATCACAGATATACCCTAGATAAGTAGTTACCACTCTGGGACATTTGACAAAATAGAGAGACAGCTTTGATAGTCACAGCTGGACTCAGGGACATGTAGTGGGTATAGGTGAGGGATGTTGCTAAGCATCCTAGGATGCACAGGGAATCCATCACAACAGAATTATCAAGCTCAAAATGTCCATAGTACTGGAGTGAGAAGGGCTGCTCTAGATTTACAGAAATTTATGGTGCAGACTTATCTGGCACTCAGTTATGAACAACTGCAAACCCTGAAATAATAGGAGAAATCTTAAGCACTTCAAAAAGAACCAAGAAAAGAGTGACAAAATAGCATCCTCAATGGTTAATACTGGTAGTTAGTGGTAAATATAACTATACACACACCAAACCGCATGCTTCAGAGACAAGTTACTCTGAGAAAGAATATGGCCAAGAAACAGTGGTTAAGAATACCTCAAGTAAAGTACAAAGAGAGAACATAATGGAAGAGCAGGTCTGGAGTTAAGAGGCATCGTTTTCATCTCAGTTTTATTAAATTGCTAATGCATAAAGAAAATATTAAGGTATTTTAAATCCATCTTATGTAATGAGAGAAGTGTGTACAGTTCCATTTAGTAGCCAGCCCAAACAGCCCCTTTGTTCACAATTATTGCTTGAAAAGAACATAGCTGAGTTTAAGATGTCTAGTTTGTATCTTTCTTAATGATTTCCTGTTGTATGATCTATTTTTATGTCTGAGTATAAATAGTGTCTAGTGTCCTTTTTTTTTTTTTGCTTGTTATTTATTATTTCCATTTTCCTCTCTTGACTGTATGAATGCTATAGGTTGAATGGTTCATTTTAAATGTTCATTCTTGCCAATTCTGTGAAAGCATTAGCTTTTCATTTTGGCAGAGTGACTTAGAAAATGTTGCTGATATGCTGCTTTCTCAAGCATATGCTCCTCTCTTATCTTGACACAGAATATATCCACAAAGAAATGATACAATTTTAATGGGAAAAGACCTAGCCAAATCATCTTATCATGTTACACATCACATTACAGCAACTGTTTTACATTCACTTATACAGACCTAAGACCAGACAAAAAGTAACATTAAAACCCAAGTTCAACTAAAGATGTTTAGCTCTACCACATGGCAGTCTCTTTTAAGAAAATTAAAAACAGGAAAATTAAATCCACATGTAAATGATAGCATTCTAATTTGAAGGATGAGGAAAAGGGGAACTTCCTCAAAAATTAATTTCCACCATATGGAAAACTTAGGACCGTATTAATTTCTTTTAAGTATTTAATAAGACTCTATGAGATGAGGGTATATAGCCCTAGTAAGAGTGACAGGCTTGCTTACGAAGTCTTTCTGAAATTTATTTACAAATGGGGTTGTTTTTGTTTTGTTTGGTGACTTGGGCTTTTTTCTCCAAGAGAATTAGCATTGTTTACAGATTGTGACCCAAGATTTTTTTTAATTTTAAAAGATTTTTATTTTCAGTTGAGGTGATGGTATTGTAAAAACAGTTTCACTTTCTAGATTTTTTTTAGCCGGAAGGCAGTCCATTAAATGTCTACAGATTAAACAAATACTTTCAGAAAAACCCCAAAAGTTTATTTTTTTGTATGTGTATAATATTTTCTATGGAAATTAACAATGAGCAGACACTAAGACATAAACTCAATAATATGGCAGTGTGAGGTCAGTGAGGAAGCTATAAAAATGAAAATGACCTTGAGAATTTTAGTTAATAAAGATGGTCAGGATGAACATTTTCTAGAGGTAGTTTGCCTAACTTGCTAAGTGGGATAAGGAGTTTCATTAAGAAAGAGTTGACTTTAAACATCATGGAAAAGCACAGGTGAGGGTAGTGTAAACCATCTCTACTAGAGGATGCCAGGCACATACCCAGGATTATTTCTAGAAGTAGTTTCTTCTTCCTTTCTTATACCGCCCTCATGGCAGCATAGAAATGTCTGGTGCTTTATGAATTAGTATAGCCTTGCAGTTATTGAAGGAACAGAGAAGAATAAGATCAATTTGAGTTAACTCACAATGACATGATCTCTATCTGTTTGCGAGACAATTCACAAGCCAGTTTGAGATTTACTTCGTACAAAGGAAAGCATCCAAATACAAGCATTCCTTAAATGCATGTGAAAAATTGACTGATACAGAAGTGGTTAGTTTTAGTTCTACTTTTCTAACCCAGAGTAAGCATACTATCTCAGAAATAGTTTTTCTAATTTTTTTAATTAAGCATTTTAATTTGTCCATTTTTTAAATGCAGTTTTATTGACCATCCTCTCTTTATTTTCATCCATGAATGCTCCCCCTTCCCTGTACCTTTAAGTGTCACAAATTGCTACCAGTAAGGAAAACTGTTGTGTCTTTTTATGGATGGAAGTTTTGTTCTTTTTATAGACAGAAAATAAACAATATTTCTTTGGCCTCAATTGAGTTGAGATCGTTTCTCTTGGATCTCTGTCCTACATTCTGCATTGTATTTTTTAGTGTCTGAGTTTACACAGTGACAAAGAAATGATGCTTTCGAGGTTTTCTAAATATATGAAAAGAAGATCCTCTTAGAAATAAATTGATATATTAATAGTTTAGCCCATTCTGTATTGTACTTGTTTTTTATGTTGCATCTAGTTTTTGTCACTGCCCCACCCCCAATGTGCGGGCCTCCTAGGGAAGAATGTTATCTTGATTCTTATGGTAGTATAACCTTGTCATAGCCAGGTTAGCCACTCAGTTAATCAAGATGAACATCTCCTTTTTTTCAACAGGTGAACGGAAGAGTCCTTATGTTGCAGTATGCTGTATAGTAATGGCCTTCAGCATCCTCTTCATACAGTAGCTGGGGAAAATGCCAGAATGTAGTTGCCATCAGATTTGATTGTGAACAAGGACTGACTGCAGAAAATAATGGAAAGGATGTTTAACTCTTTTATCTCCGAACATTGAATGAGATAAATTTCCAGATGCTGTTCTCTATTTTAATGTTATTGGACCAATGTTCTGTATAAACAATTAAGATGTAACCATTTAATAGTCTGTAACAATCAACCTCAGTACTGTCACTACAATATTACATTCTGCAAATGTTATTCTGTTGTATCAGATACAAAATTTTAGTGAGGTATCTCTAAGGCACATAGTAGAAAACAAAATTGGTTAATTACTCAAGTTCCTTTCACTGTGATTTGGAAATGATTTAATCTTTATAGAATGAGAACCTTTTTTGGACTAGCTTTTTTATTAAAATGGCTCAATTTGTGTTGATAAGGATTGCATTAATATTTAATAGTGCTTGCTTTTCCTCTGGGCACACCATTTTGATCATTAACCAGAGTACCTCTACTCTTAGCAAACTCTAGTTTATGACAAGTATTTAAAATATTTAAAACAAGCTTATGCAGTTCTTAAGGACGAAGGTAAATGAGATGTAACTTAAAAATAGTATTGGGAAAATGTTGATAGTTAACATTAGTGGATTTAGACTAGCCAAATGACATAGTAGGCTCTGAAACATCTTGTCAAGTATATGTATTTTGTGCATGAATTTTTGCTGGAAAGCTGTCTTTCTCTGAAAAACACAACGTTCTTAGAATGAAAAGAACAATTATAAAATAATTATCCTATATGTGTTTTTCATTCTTTTTAGTGTCATGGCTTCAAAAATGAAACATTTATTTTAATTGCCGTAAAGGAACTGTATTTTTGTTTTGTTTTTTAACACAGCACTTTAAATCCAGTTTGTGTTTTGTCAACTTGAACTGGAATCTCTTTTGTTACTTTGGAGGTGATAAATAGTTTTCAAATCTGCTGATTTGTATACTGTGGCACAAGTATCTTTGAACTTTGATAGTGAAAGGAGACCTTCAACAATTTTTAGTCTAGGCGAGAGGAATATTAGGAATGTGACTTCTAAATTTTACAATAGAGCAGTTATTTTAAGGTCATGGTTAACATTTCTTAAGGTTCAACTAAAATTCAGTTAAAATTTCAGAGCTACGAGGAACTTAAATCTTAGCTAAAAATTACCTGTTGTAGATAGTATTAATTAGATTGTTTGCAGCTATTAATTCATCATAAAGATAAAATGAAGAAACTCTCCCTTTTTTTAAACAAAAAAAATTATTTCTAGATTAATAGGCTAGTAGTTATTTCTGCAGAAACAACGTATGGAACTGAAAGCCACCTATTTTTATTTTAGACTAATTTAAACCACTTGGAATGGATTCTAGGAAACATCTTAAGCTTGTGTGTTGCCTGTGGTGGTTTTTTGTTTGGGGGTGTTTTTTGGTTTTGGTTTGATTTTCTGTATTTTGTTATCTGGGGATTTTTTGTTTGTTTGTTTTGGTTTGGTTTTGGTTTTATATTTTTGGCATGTCTATGGCAGTTAAAAGTGGTATATTTTGCTTTAGATAGGGAATCAGGTTATAATCATTGTTCTTCCTCTAAACTGCCTCTTGGGCTTTACATCAGGTCAAGGATTTTTAGGGTTTCTCAAAAATAGGATTCTTGTCAGTGTATGCATGCTGAGTAAGTCACCTTTCTGGCTCTAATTTCTGGGTGGCCATCTGTTGTCCAGCTCTGCTGCCAACTGGACTTTCCGAAAGCCATGTCAACTAATTTTTTATATGCTAAGACAAATCGAATATGAAAAGAGGAAGAATATTCTAGATATTCTAAGACATTTCTTAATTTGGCATCTCAGAGGAGGTAGGTGGAAAGTAAAGGAAGAGATAATTTTGGGGGAAAATTTGTGGAAACATACAAAACGTTTTGCTTTGTATAGATGCTAAACAGAGTGGGAGGCAGCATATTTGTAACAACAACCATTCTGACCTTTTGAAACACAAGCTTTTGGAGAAGTCAGGGAGAGACACAGTATGAATAAAAGCAATTAACATTTTCTTTAATGTATATTTTTCAAAGAGGACCACGGAATCCTGTTCTCTAACCCAAGGGGCAGTGTAGGTGGTTTTAAGCCCACAGAATATTGAGATATTTCTCTTGTGGTTTTGGTGGGGTGGTGGGATGCAGAAGGTTATTAAAGATCAATTTAAGCATCAGATAGACTATCCCTTTTATTTTTTTAACTTTTAGGTTCAGGGGTACATGTGCAGGTTGTTATATAGGTAAACTCATGTCAAGTGGTTTTGTTGTACAGATTATTTTGTCACCCAGGTGCTAAGCCTAGTACCCAGTAGTTATTTTCCCTGCTCTTCTCCCTCCTCCCACCCTCCACCCTCAAGTAGGCCCCAGTGTCTGTTGTTCCTTTCTTTGTGTCCTTGAGTTCTCATCATTTAGCTCCTACTTCTAAATGAGAACATGTATTTGGTTTTCTGTTCTGTGTTAGTTTGCTAAGGATAATGGCCTCCAGCTCAGATGGAATATCTCTATCATATAGACCTGTTGTTACAGGGCAGGATCGGATGATGGACACTGAAGTCCTCAGCTTGCTAAGTTCAGTTGCTCTCCCTAGCCTCCTTTTGGCTTCAGAGTCTTTTGATTCCATCTATCCTGGTATTTTTTGTGTGCTGATGTTTAGTTCTGGATTGGCTTCAGCTGTGCTAATAGGAAGGGCGTTGTCTTTTCAAGCAATCTTAAAAGGTGGTCAATCAAAAGGCCAGAGTCTGAATCCCTTCTGTGGCTTAAATAATTTGAGGATCAAGTCCAGTGTCTTGTTAATCCCTGTTCTACTGTGCCAGACACTATCTTGAATGCTTTTATATGTTCAGGTTCAAAATCGCTCTTTCATACCAGGGGATGATAGTAACGTGTAACTTGCAATAGATTCCTTCATCTTAGTAATAAGATGATCAGTCTAGTTAGGACAAAATAGAGATTGAATAAATTAACTTTTCCAAGTTTACAGAGTAAAAATGAGCAGATCTCTGCCTGGTTTTGTGAAAAAGAGTTAGCACTGGTAAATAGAATATTTCTACTCCTACACCATTCTTTCAGTATATCATCACTGAAGACAGGAAGATAGGCACACAGATTCTTCCTCGTAGTAATTCATAGTGCACTAGGTGAAAGAGATGAAGTATGTATTAAAAGTACAATGTGATGGCATTTATTATTCAGATAATCCCAGGATTCTAGAAGAAAATAAAGAAGAGTGACAGTTCAGTTAGGGTGTGAACTTCCAGAGGAGCACTGCTTAAGCTGAACTTGAGAGCATTGTGCAAAAGCACAGTAGTCTGTTAAGAACTAGAAATAACCTAGCTTGTGCCACTTCGGGAGTATTAAGACATAAGCCTAGAAAGGTAGGCAAAGGTTAGATCTTAGACTGTCTTGTATTTTTCTCATTCCTGTTGATTACCTACCTCAAAATTGAATATGTTTTTCCTCCTGCCTAACACAAAACTACTCAAGGGCAGAAATTTAAATTCTTCCTTGGTGTATGTGCAAAGAAGGTTGAATATATTCATGCCTACCTTATTTTGGACTAGGAATACAGTAGTATACTTTCCGAAGACTTGCCTGAATAGTATATAAGGTGGAGGCAACTGACTAGTTAGGTCAGTATTTTTAGAAACTCTTAATAGCTCATACTCTTGATACCAAAAGCAGCCCTGATTGTTAAAGCACACACCTGCACAAGAAGCAGTGATGGTTGCATTTACATTTCCTGGGTGCACAAAAAAAAATTCTCAAAAAGCAAGGACTTACGCTTTTTGCAAAGCCTTTGAGAAGTTACTGGATCATAGGAAGCTTATAACAAGAATGGAAGATTCTTAAATAACTCACTTTCTTTGGTATCCAGTAACAGTAGATGTTCAAAATATGTAGCTGATTAATACCAGCATTGTGAACGCTGTACAACCTTGTGGTTATTACTAAGCAAGTTACTACTAGCTTCTGAAAAGTAGCTTCATAATTAATGTTATTTATACACTGCCTTCCATGACTTTTACTTTGCCCTAAGCTAATCTCCAAAATCTGAAATGCTACTCCAATATCAGAAAAAAAGGGGGAGGTGGAATTATATTTCCTGTGATTTTAAGAGTACAGAGAATCATGCACATCTCTGATTAGTTCATATATGTCTAGTGTGTAATAAAAGTCAAGATGAACTCTCAAGAGCCTCCTACTTTTGTCTTATTGTCAGATATGTGAAAGCAGTTTTTAGAGGTTAGAAAATGGAAATTTCCACCTTTCTAGTAGGATGAGAATAGAGAAATGTTCTATTTTTTTTTTCCTACCTGCATTTGCATTCATGGATGGCCAGGATTCGTTTTGGGGTATTATTTTTATTGTTGTTTTGCATCCTACTAGCTATTGGATCTACTATATTGCTGTTATCATTGAGTATGCTTTGAAGAGCCTTAAATGACTCCAGCAGTTTGCTTTGGGTGTGAAGTCTTTAATTTTCCCAGAGATGGTGGAAATCCGATTCTGAGTGAAAGTGACAGTTATCAATTACTGAGTTATTTTCAACCTTGTCCTCAACTGGGAGCCTTCAGATGCCCAAACATTCTGGCAAGTAACTATTATTTTCTGTCTAAAATCTGTTTGTGAGCATTGTCCATCAGTCAGATTATTCAGCCAATTTATACTATTATTAGTATTTACTGAGAAATATGAAAAGGCTTTTGTCTTGCTTTGAGGAATGTGGTCTTCCTGCTGTTAGCTTCCCAAAACTGAATAAACACAGACCAACCTTTGTCAGACCTGTAACTAGAAGGAATTTACCTAACCAAATGAATTGTAGCAATTGTATTTTTAGTTAGATTTAGATCTAAGAAAATACTTCAGATATAAATTGAAAGGCAGTATCTTAGTTGTTTCTTTCAGTAAATATTGTAAACGTACCCCACTGCCCCATTAAACCACCAGTTGATAAAAGACATTATAGGAAAATCACTAAATTTCCAATTTATATTAATAAGTCAAAAGAATTCAAAATGGCTGTGCTTAAGACCACCAAATTTAATATAACCAGGAAAGCAAGATCTGTTTTTAATTCAGAGGGTTTACATTAATGTCCTTACTGATAACAGATTCATCTAGGGGTGGAAGGGAGGGCAAGGGCAAGGGAGAAAACATAAATATTGGAAACAAGGGTAAGTTACTTCACACACACTTTGTGGAGGATGAGAACACTCATTCAGAAACTGCGTGATACCCAGACACTACTGTTTGAGCTTTGACAAGGGAAGTAGCCTAAAAGCAAATGTGTAGGGATGTAGCATTTGTTCCCAAAGTGCTAAAACCTGTAATTTATCAGCCACCTCAACTTTTTTTATTTCTATAGCTAGGCTAAATACTGGAAAAAAAATAAAAAGAAGTAAGAAAATAGACATGAGGGATTTCAAGAAGGCCAGCATCAAAGAATCTTTGCAGTAATGAAGTGTTAAAAGGGATCTGGAGGCTCAGGATAATACCAAAAGATTTGACCTTGGAAATTAAGTTACAGAGAATAGAATACAACATTCTTTTGGATTCTGAAAGAATAGAAGATCATATTTATCTTGATTTTATTTGATAGAAATAGTTTGCTTGCTTTTTAAAAAGTGTTTCTGAAGATGACCAGCATCTTCAAAGAAGCTTTATTGACTCTTTTAACATGTAACAAATTCGATGTAGACAACTTAGCGAATCCCTAGGCACTTAGTTTGACCTGCCAAGAAGAACAGAAATTGGGCTAGAATGCAGGATAATCCTTGCCTCCCTCCCCACCGCCAAAGAATAGAAAATTAATCCCTCTATCATTCCAAACCCACAAAGTAGAGTCCTCCATATCTCCCATTTCATCCCTACATGAATCCTTTGAGAACAGGCTGTGTGCCAGACAGTGCTAGGACAGGATATACAATGTGGAATAAGACAAATACAGCTGTTGCTGTCATGGAACCTAGAGTCTAGTAAAGATCAACTAACCAAATAGCTAATTAGATAAGCATACACAACCTCTAGAACCCTGAAGGTAACACCTGAAGGACGGTTTAGATGGCGTGGTAAGGGAATGCCAGTCCATGAAGTTGATGGTTAGGCTAAGATCTACTGCAGATGAAGAGCATGAACAAAGTGGCAGAGACAGGAAAGAGCTTGGGACTTGAAGGGGTGGAGAAATTCATAGAAAACTAGCATGAAGAATGCTATTTAATGTTACTAATACTGAGTGAGGCAAAGAATGGAGTAAGTTGGAAAGAAAAAATAAGCCAAATCATGCAGGGCTTTGAGCCATAGAGAAGGCTGGCCAACTCATCCAAAGGATTTGACCTTACATAATTAAAGGAGCTAATAGAGTAGTCTCTGTAAGACTATTGTCTTTGTTTCTAATGTTGGACCTGAAATCCACAGGGAAGGGAAGGGAAGGGTAGAAGCTGTGTCAGTTCTTGTCATTGACCTTGGTACTGTGGATGTCTTGCAGAAAGAAGCCAGTGCCCTTCTTGAAGCTATATGTGGCCAAGAAGTCAGAGAGGCTGAAGGATAATCCAGGGGAAGATAGAGTAGTTATAGGCCCACCTGCTGCCTCACAGTAACAACGTTAATCTGCACATCTGTGACATCACAGTTGAGCTACAAAATTACTACTGCTTTACCTCTGTTGAACAAATTTCACCCAAGACTCCCTCCTGTGGTCCACACTAACCAGAAGTTTACAAGGAAGGCAGTCCTAGGAAATGAGCAGCCTAACCAAGTTGACACATTACAAAGTCATCATGCTCTCTAAGACCCTTCAACCTGGATTTCCTGCCAGCAACTCAATATATCCCAAACAGAATTCTTCAAAACCTGCTTCTCCTTCTGGGTCACCCTATTTTGTTTTTTAACAGTGCCACTTTCCTTCTATGCTTAAAATTTTCTAATCTTGTTAACTCCCCCTTTTCCTTTCTCATATACCTCTCATGCTACCACCAATCTATAACAGTTCTATCATTTTTACCTCTGCAGTGCCCACCCCAGGTGGATGAGTTCAAACTCAACAGGTGATTATACAATCCCACACATTGATTTCATATTTAGTTTGATATAAGCCCCCCTTCTGGAACCCCAAAAGAAGGAAAAGGCCATTTTCCTCTCCAAAAGCACATACAGGGGAGTGAGTTATAACGAGGAGCTAGTATGCTGCTATCATTATTTAAACCAAGAAAACCCACTGTAGACAAGATGAAGGATCTAATAAAAATGTGTTCTTATTCCTGATTCTAAAACTTTAACAGCTGGGCTTTCCCATGTGGAATAATGTTACATAAATAACTCAGCCAGGAAACAGAGGGGCTGTGAAGAAGTCCAACAAAATGATAGATGATCTTGGACAGTCTTAGTATCACACCCAATGGAGTTAGAAGGAAATAAGTGCATTGAAGGTACGGGTGAGCTATGTTGTTATGTGTGAGCAGCAAACTTTACAGAACCTGACAGTTATCTGAGTCATGTATCACTAATTCTACAGAAGTTTTCTTTCTACTTAAGTATATTAACACTCCCTAATCTATTCCATAGGGACCTTTTCTGCTCCATCCAAATTTGTCATCTTTTAATTAGTCATGGAAGTCTAGATAAAGCGGGTTTCAGAAAATAAACATGTTGAGTTTTAAAACTAAGCTCTCAATTGTTATGTTTTATTTTAAAGGGGACAAATATCACTGAGTCCATGCTATTTCGTATTCTTGTCCACATAGTCTAGTCAAAGCTCATGTTGCAATTCCTACTACCACATCTTCATTTCACTGAAGTCGCTATAGTCGCAGTTATAGCACAAATGCCAAAAGGCATTATGAGAAAATAGGAGTGAGGGATAAAACTTCAGCCTAAGCAACTGTGCAGTTCTCCTTTTCCATTTACATGATGGGAAAGTAGTGGGAGGGAGCTGCAATCCTTACGGGAGATACAGAACTTAGGGGCAAGTGTCATCTCCCTCAGGTTTGGGTTAGAAGACCTTCAAAAGCCTTCCCAGCTGTGAACACCAATGACTGTCCTGTATTGGCAGTACAAGTTGTTCTTCACTGGTCCTCAGCAGTTGCTTAAACATAGACAAAGAACTCTTAAAGAATGAAGACACATTTGGTTTTTTCCAGCCATGATCTTGGAAATCCCATTGTAGCTGGAAGTTCTACATTTGTGAAATGTATCCAGGAATTTACCTTCCTAGAAATTACGCCAGGGCTCATTTTGGGCTTTTTGAAGAGTTACAGGAGACATTCTGTGATTATAACAGTGGTTACTTCGCTAGGAAACATTCATGGAACATGTACTTGTTACTCTTTTCTTTATGTAATTCTTAGATCAACCTTGTTTCCTATGAATACCGGCAAAACCAACTCGTCCATTGTCTACACTATGCCAAGGGAAATATCCACATCAACTTGAAATAAGATAAGGAGAAAAAAATAGAAAGAAAATTACTTCTAGGCCTTTCATTGCTTATTATTTGCCCCTATTCTGCCCTCCGTGTTTTTACTTGCTGTGATCCAAGGCAACACACTCATGTAGCAGCTCCTAACTGTGATCATCCTAGCACAGTATGAGTCACTAAGCAGGAGAAGCTTCTTATTTTCCTTTGAATTACAAGCCCTGTGCTTGAGAGATGGTTCAATAAGCCCCCTACAGAATCACATGGAAGACAAACTTCCATGACACCATTAGTCTCATACCTGAAAGTAATTTAAATTTTTTCCCTTACAAAACTAAATTGTAGAAAATTCAGAAAATGCAAATACACAAAGAAAAAAAAAAGGCTTCCAGTAATCTTACCAGTCCAAAATAACCACTATAATGGATCATATAAAGATGTCCATGTACAGATAAAAATATTTTTTATGGGATAGAATAGTTCATGCTATTTTGTAGCCTTCTTTTCTCCCCCTTTTGTGAATGTCTTTTCACAAGTTACAGATTTTTGCTATTATACGATTTTTAAATAATTGGGGAATATCCCACCATAGAATACAATAAAATGTATTTAACCTGTCCCCTGTTATTGGACACTTAAATTGTTTCCACTTGGGAAGTGATATATTTAAAAGGACAACATGGCACAAATCACATTGATGTCTTGTTAAGATTAATTTATATCACATGTACTTAAATGGGCATGGTATCCTAAGTTTCTATTTAGATCTACACGAACAGATCTTTTGTTCAGGGTAAGTATATATAGGCAGAAGGGTTTGCTTCTTACTTCTCATTATTTCAATGTGATTTGGAAATATATCTCCACTCCAACCTACCTGTAACCTGAAATTACACCTTTAAAAAGCTTACCATTTATGTTTCATAAATTTTTAGTGTGGTAGAGCATATTTCATTTTAAATAACTCCCTCCTCCTACCATGAATCTTCAGATGAAGTACATTAGAATGAGGTGCATTAGATGTGGGAATCATCTGCTGAAGTATCATATTTAAATCTAATTCTATTAAACACTGCAGGACACTGGGCAAACTGGAGAAGTGCAACGATAATTTCAATGCTCTCAGTATAGAAACTGATGCTCCCCAGGCTGAGAAAAGAAATTAGGATCTGGTAAGTGATAAAGTAATAGACAGGAGCTTTGAAAAGTTCGATGAGGCTGTGGGCATACCACAGAACATTCAGACTGAGCAAAGCACTCCTGGATGCGAGAGCCTGAAGGGCATGTGGCCATCTATTTTACAGTCTTCCAATTTTTCACTCATTCAGGGTGCAGTAGGGCTATAGTTCCATTTTAATAATGGAAGTTGTAGGAGATTGATTTATAGAACATTTTGAAATAATTTTTTTATTATACAAAATGGAATATTTACATGGCTATTAAATGTATATTGAAGTAAAACTTTCAACATGAAAGGATAGACACAATATATTTAGTGATGAAATCATGTTACAGGCTAGGCACGGTGGCTCATGCCTGTAATCCCAGCACTTTGGAAGGCCAAGGGGGATGGACCACTTGAGATCAGGAGTTTGAGACCAGCCTGGCCAACATGGTGAAACCCTGTCTCTACTAAAAAATACAAAAATTAGCTGGATGTGATTGCGTGTGCCTATAATCCCAGCTACTCAGTAGGCTGAGGCAGGAGAATCGTTTGAACCCAGGAGGTGGAGGTTGCAGTGAGCTGAGATCACGCCACTGCACTCCAGCCTGGGTGACAGAGTGAGGCTCCATCTTAAATTTTAAGAAACAAGAAAAAGAAAGAAAAGAAATTATGTTACAAAATATTTTATGCATGGGTGCATGCACACACACACACATTTATAAGAAAAGAATTATAAAAAATACCAACATAATAATTTTCTCTAGGAGGTGGGAATAACAGTGAGTTTTCTTTCCTTTTATTTTTTAAAATCTATATTTTTATGGTTAAAAAAATGTGATAAGGTAAATACCAAGTATATACATTTGAATTTCATGACATACTTTTTAAATTTATGCTTGATACTTTCAGACCATCAGACCCTTATTACACCTTGTTTTAATGCTTATTTTCTCTTTGTTTCATTCCCGTGAAAAATGAAAAGTCTTTGTCATTTTCTCTCTGAATCTGTATCTTTGTCTCCCTTTTTTCCTCCCGCTCTCCTACTTTCTCACACTAGACGTTTCATAGGAATTAAAAGTATTAAAGGGTGGTCAATTCTTATTTGCCTTTGGAAACCCAGAATGTGCACAGTATTTAGTAAACTTTCATCTATTATGTAAATTCTTAATGCTTTGAAGAAGCACAAATGGACTGTATTTACCTCCATTGCCCTGACTTCAAGCATTTTCAACCATCAAGAAAAGTAAATCATTTAAATTTAGAACTGACAAGAAACAGACTCAGCTATCTCCTAAATACATGCATTAAGAATAGTCTGCCAAGGGTTTTGTGTAAAGGCAAAAGATAATAAACTTAAAGCGTATATACTAGTCAATGAAAGTCCTACATATACAACAGTGTGATCCAATTTCCAGAAACAAATGCCTTGTGTTAAATATAAAATTAAGGCTAAGTAAATTAGTTTATTTTTTGAGTGAAGAAGTTCAATTCTCATCTATCTTAAAATAAAATACATCTATCTGAGATTACGTGCCACAAAGATACCAACTTTATACTTTTCCCCGATTTTCTGGTTTAGGACAATAATGGCAAACATATCTACATTCACTTCACATACAATCCTGGAGAATCTGGCATTTATTACACCACTCAGTTATGTACACTTTGAGGCTCATGAAAGCCTGAAGAATATTCAAGAGCCAGACAAAAAACAACTAGTAAAAAATGTTTATACTTCTCTTGACAACTCAGTAAGAAAATCTGTACATGAATGATTTTATAGTAGTTAAATATGGCTTTGGACATTTAAATGTTTTTTATGTAATCCTGTTAATTACTGAATCCAGGTTAATGAATGACATGGTAAAGAAGCATATTATATGAGGGTTATGTTTCTCCATTGAAATATTTTTCCTACCTGATGATTTATTCTACGTTTCCTCATTAGGAGTTCTTAGCATATCAGAAAGCGGTCTAAGTATCAAAAATTAATGAATAGAAGTCTCAGTGAGGCACAATTTATTAGTTTGCAGATTCTTGGTGACCATAGTTTACTGGTTAAAAAATAAATAAAAAATAAAACTTTGATCACTCCTTTTGAATTGGAACCTACTCACCTACCTCATTACTTACATGCTTTGTGTGAACATAGCAACCGTTGAAAGTTCTCTGAGGCATAAAATGAAAATTCTGCCTATAGTATAGAGAAATTATCCTCTACACCCTGTCCCCAGAACTGTGGACTCATGGACTAATGTCCCTACTTTCTCCACGATTGCCCAGTTTCACTCTGCTTTTCTCAATCCTGTATTTCCCATGAAATATAAGGGCTGACTCAGACAGGGCTCTTATCTGCAAATAACAGATACTGGCCCAGTAAAATTAAGCAGGAAATAAGTTTATTGGAAGGCTGTCAGTTATAAAATAACCCAGAAGGCCAGCAAACCAGGGAAGAAAATCAGAACATAAGAAAACTGGGTAGCTGAAACCTCAGCCAAGGTATTGAACACTGGATCTTGTCACTTGGATTCCACACTTGTCCCCAAATGTGGTACCACTGTGGATGAAATAAATTCTGCATCATCTCTGTTTCTCTGCATCAAGGGCTGCAGATTCAAATTTCCAAGATGGAGTGGATCAGTCAACTGTTTCCACATTAGTGCTATATAACAAAACCACTCCAAAATTCAATGGCTTAAAACCACAATTTATTTTTGCCCATTTGTCTGTGGGTGAGGTAGGGATTAGCTGATCTCTAAGCTGTGCTTGGCTGTGCTTGGCTCTGGACTTCAGGTGAGTTCAATCTCAACTCCTGTCTCTCATTCTTATTAGATCAGTGAGTTGCCTGACATTTCTTCTCATTGTGATGGCAGAAGTTCTAGATGGCAAGCCAGATTGTGTAAGTACATTTCACACCTCTGCAACATCACATCTGCGGACATTCTGTTGGCAAAAGCAAGTCGTATGGCAAATCCAGTCAAAGGGCAGTGAAAAACACTGAAAAGAGCTGTGAAGTCAATAGCAAAAGTCGTGGGCACAGGATAGGGTAAAGAATTGGGACTAATATTTTAATTTATTTCATTGACAATTCTTTTTTTTTTAGATGGAGTCTCACTCTGTCACCCAGGTTGGAGTGCAGTGGTACGATTTTGGCTCACTGCAGCCTCCACCTCCTGGGTTCAAGCAATTATCCTGCCTCAGCCTCCCTAGTAGCTGGGATTACAGGCGCCTGCCACTAGGCCCGGCTAATTTTTGTATTTTTAGTAGAGACGGGGTTTCACCATGTTGGCCAGGCTGGTCTCGAACTCTTGGCCTCAAGTGATCCACCGGCCTTGGCCTTCCAAAGTGCTGGGATTACAGGCATGAGCCACCGCACCCAGCCTCCAGTGATAATTCTTATTGGTCAAGTTCAAATCTTATGATAGTGCCCTAGCTGTCAAGGGATAAGTAGTGCAAGTTATTTGGTCCTATTTTTGTAGAGAAGAAAGCCCTTATCCTCCACCAAGATTCACACAATGACAGAGTCCTCATATAGCAAAAGAGTTTAAATGCTGAGCAGCCATCAAAGTAACAAATTTGCATCCTAAGTGGCTAATTATTATGTTTTTACTCTCTCTTCAGTGGTGTTCAGGTAGATGGTAAAGAAGTGTCGTAACTGAAAAGTGGAAGTTAAATCAAAGTAGGGATTTGGAGACTTGGATTGCATAGTAGGAAAAGAGGAGAAAACATTCTCTGCAGAGAAATGACAATGAGATAATCATACTTGTGGCCAGGTGCAACGGCTGCCACCTGTAATCCCAACACTATGGAAGGCCAAAGCAGGAGAATTACTTGAGGCCATGAGTTCAGGACTAACCTGAGTAACATAGCAAGACCTAATTTCTACAAAAAAAAAAAAAAAGAAAAGAAAAGAAAAAAAAATTAGCTGGGCGTGGTGGCACATGCCTGTAGTCTTAGCTACTCCAGAGGCTCAGGCAGGAGGATTGCTTGAGCCCAGGAGTTTGAGGTTACAATGATTGCACCACTGCACTCCAGCCTGGGTGACAGAGAAAGGCCCTGTCTCAAAGAGCAACAATAACAACAACAAGAAAAAAAAAAAAAAAAAAAAAAAACGGAGAATCATACTTGCAAGACCTTTGCCCTGAATCCACACAGAACCTTGAATCAATATTCTATTGATCTCTTGTCTTTGTACTCCGGGCTTACTGGAAGCAAATATATGTGAAATGGAAAGAAAGGAACACTCTTATTCATAAAGATGTTCAATCCCCTGCATACACGTAACCTAAGAGCAACAATTAAACTCCCTCGAAAACACATCATGTAAGTCTTCTGCCAAACACCACCTTTTTGCCTCTTAAGAATGTTAGGACTAGGCACAGTGGCTCACACTTGTAATCCCAGCACTTGAGGAGGCCAAGGCCATGGGATGGTTTGAGACGAGCCTGGGCAACACAGGGAGACCTTGGCCCTTTAACAATTATTACTTGTACTCCTCTCTGAGAACAAAAACAAAAATGCAGGCAAATCTCATTTAATTCTACCTCTAGTCTCTTGATTTCTGTAACCTTTCTAAATGTGACTTCAGGCATAAGTATGTGTTGGGCAAAGAATCCAGAGTTAACACAAGTTTGCTGAGGATGAGAATGTGGAGCCAAGCGGTGAGCTGGTTCATGGGTAACCAGTTGCACCACACCTTTCAGAAAGGCATGGTTGGGCCGGTACACAGCTGTGCTCCAGGAAAGGGACCTTGCACTGCTTCCTCCTCCTTTTTACAGGTCAGGTGTGAAAGCACCTTTGGTTGGGGGAATGAATGTTTTACATTCAGCTGCCAAGCAAAATAAGTCAGTTAGTTGGGGGCAGTGATAGAAGATACAAGCCTCTCAGCACCTGGTGATTTTGGGGATTCAAGTTCCTATGAGAAGTTGAATTCAGACACGGCCCCCACCCCTCCAACCAGGGCAAGGTCCATCTAGATTGTTGCTGGAGACAGTTCTAGGGTCATTCACTGGAAAACCCTGCAAGGCTTAGAGATGGGCCAGTTATTTTATTAATACTGTTACGGCGAAAGGGACTCATAAGAGGGCTCAAATTTGTAAATAAGAAGCTGTTCCTATTGCTATTGATGAACATTTGTTATACTCACTTCTCCAGATAAGAAACAGGTTCCAGGGGACTCTTTCAAGAGAGCATCTACCATTAACTTCACCCAGTCCCTAAGGAACATCTAATACAGCTTCCATATTCCTAGCAGTTCAATGTAAATGAACTATTAAATACAGAGGCCATGAAACATCTGCTATGGCCTGGCCATCAAAATGCAGGTGTAAGCGCCGTACTGAGTTTTTCTTTAGTAAATAAAAACATTTTAGTCTGATTAAATTCAACAACAACAATGGCAAAAAAATGGACATCTTCCTTTTGTAGAAGTTAAGTCTCTGCCCTCATCTCTGGCACTTTCATGGAGATCACATGTACTTCAGTGATGTGTAGTTGGCACATGTTTTCTGTACTGGACCCTCTTGAGGCACCAATCCAGCTTCATCTTCCTGCTTCTCTGAGAACTGCCGCACATGGGGCCAATTCTTCTAGGTGTGGGTGACACCTAGCCCACCTAGGCACTCAGATTCTTTCTGCCAGGTATTTGAAACCTGGCTTGGAGTAAGTGGATTTAAGGTGTGTTAATGGCAACACTCTGATCAGATAATCATGAAAACCCTCAAAGGTTTTAACTTTTCTATTGCTTTTCATTTATTTATTTATTTTGCTTGAATTAGCTGATTTTCTGCCCGTTGTTTGAAACTAAAAACACTATACCAAACACACTCCCTTTGGGGAGTAGACACGAGTTCAAGGACATGAGGGCACTCCAGAAACTCTCACAATTACACAGTATTATACCCACCAGAGATTCTAGGAAGGGCTCATTGTCAAGTGCCCCTCCTAATAACATCCTCTAGAAAGGTGGCTGCATGAATGCTTCCCATCTTCTTACTAGGATGAACAACTAGATGAGGTCAAGCAACAGCTTAGTGATGCTTTTAAACCCTGGAGAACGCTGAAAGACTTGACTAAAGTGGCATTTAACTCTACTTGAAAAGTCATAATTATGCATTTATTTATCAGGCACTTTATATGTTCAAATCTTTTCTTAAGAGAGTTCTTGGAAGATCCCTCAAAGTATCCAGATGTTTCTAGATAAGTCATAGGTCATCTTTTTATAATGAGAAACAACATGTGGATGGGAATCAAAAGATGCTTATAATTCCTGCCAGCTTACCTGGACAATCTCTCTACTCCTCAAATGGTCTTTTGATATAGCAGACTTGCAGAAACCATTTTATTCTGCCACACTAAGGGTTTCATTAAATTAGTGGTAATTAAGATCGTAGAAATGGTTTAATCACTTGTTCTTTTATCCCTTACTCCTGGGTGTAAGGCCTAATTGAAGTGTATCCCACAAGAGAAAAGAGGAGGGGAGAAAGATTTTTGAAGTTTTTTGATGGCTGCTTAAATCAAAGAATTGTATAAAGAACCTTAATCACTGTTAACATGTGAGCTCTCACAGTGCCAGAAACCGTGCTGGGGACTTCCAATGCACTATCTCTCGGTTCTGGAAACAACCCAATAAGATCAGTGCTGTTATTATTCTGTTTATAAATGAGAAAAATGAAGTTTACTAAGTTAAGTAACTTATCCATGGTCAGATAGAGAGTGGATGCAGCAGAGTTTGAACCGGAATCCATGTCTGTCAGACACCAACACTGTGTTCTTGACTAATTCCAGTCTCCAGATCACCACTGCCAGTATTTTTCAAACTGTTCTTTCTCCTCCAAGGCATAGATAATTCCTGAGATTGCAGAAGAAGGAAAGCAGAGTTTTGGGCGCCCATTTGGGTAGCAGTTTTTGAATTCTGCATAAGACTTTATTTAAAGAAAGGGCCTCACTGTTAGAAAATGTTTGAAAACCACTGATCTAATTCACTTGCCTCATTTGACTTAAGGGACTAGAATATTTTAGAGATGTATTTAGTAATGGTCAATCTGAAACTTTATACAAAAAGTTTGCCAATCCCTGGTATGGAACACCGGAGCGTGATCCATGACTAGTGGCATCATTACTATTGGAAACTTGTTGGAAATACTGAGTCTTGGGCCCACCCCAAACTTTTAAATCAGAAACTCTAAGAGTGGAGCCCAGCAATCTGTGATTTTAGCAAGGCTTCTAGGTGATTCTGATGCAGACTAAAGCCTGAGAACCACTAGTATAGAAGGATTTTAAGATGAAAAATTTGCAACCCCAATGGAGTGGGCACTGTAGAGTGTTTTCTGATTCAAGAACTCAAGTCATAGAGTTTAATAGTAATAAAAATAACAGTGCTAATAACTGTGAGATTCGTGGCATACTTGAGGTATGTCAGACATGTTGCTTTCCATTCATGATCTTATTAACACCTCACAATAATCCTATGAAGTAAATACTATTGTTATTCCCATTTTGTAGCTAAATAAAATAAGGCTTCATGAGATTGAGTGACTAGTCACAGTGTTAGAAAGTGGTGGCTCCAGGCTGAGACCTAGACGGTTTGACACCAGGGTCAGAACTCTTCATGTCATATACCTCAGATTTTTGTAGGCTAGATAAATGAAAATGTTACTAAAAAGAAGAAAGCAACAATGAATGCTATCAGTGTTGAAACCAGTGAAATATGTTTGTATAAAAAAGTGGTACTGTCCGGGTGTGGTGGCTCATGCCTGTAATCCCAGCAATTTGGGAGGCCAAGGCAGGAGGATCACCTGAGGTCGGGAGTTTGAGACCAGCCTGACCAACATGGAGAAACCCTGTCTCTACTAAAAATACAAAAAATAGCTGGGTGTAGTGGCTGGCACCTGTAATCCCAGCTACTTGGGAGGCTGAGGCAGGAGAATTGTTGAACCTGGGAGGCAGAGGTTGCGGTGAGCCGAGATCACACCATTGCACTCCAGCCTGAGCAACGAGAGTGAAACTCCATCTCAAAAAAAAAAAAAGTGGCACTCGTATAATAACTACTCTCTCTTCTTGCCAGGGAAACTGGTTTTGGCTATACCACATATGTGGTGTTTCCTTAAGTAGATCTAGAGGAAACTCCACCAGCATTTGTGGCCACCTACCCTATATCCTATTTTGTTGTCTTTGTACATTTTAAATAAATTTTAAAAGTGAGATTTTCCCCCTCTTATTTTCAGATTACTGGGAATCTTGGCTCTTTCTTTACAATTTAGTTTTAATTACTTGTGTTTTTGTTGTTTTCCACGTAATTGTCACGATGGTTTACTTTGGTTGACTTTTCCATGACATCATGAGTTTTGTTTTCTTTTTCTGGTAAGGAAGGCTGAACAGGAAGAAGAGAATGCATGGGATGAGGTAGGTTGGGGAGAGAGAAGGAATAGACTAATACCAGGAGATGTGGAAGTAGAAAAACAAAACAAAACAAAAAAGACTCTTGGTACCGCAGGATATCCAATCTAGGCAAAAGACACCTAATACCAGTGATTTGACCTTTTTATATTAGAAAAACAAAACCATATTGAGATGTGAGAGACACTTGAAAGGTATAATTTGAATTTTGAACAATGTTTTCCATATGGTGCATATGTCATCCGTAATCTTCACAGGTTTCCAATTCACTCCTCAATGAAATTCATGTTTCTGATTTCATTCCATAAAGACTAGAAATTGTAGCCCTGAACACTTTAATAATATAGTGGAAAAATATGAAAAAAATGTATAGAAGTTAATGTTTAAATATATTTTACATATAGAATAGAGATTTATTGAGAACTAGCATTGATTTCTAGGGAATAAAGATTGTCAGGTTAATCTATATAGCTATAATAAAATAATTGACCTTGGATACTAAGGGCAAGTTAGAGAAAATTTTGCTTCGTGTTACAGAGCTTTTGTTTCTGTTTATTAAATACACTGAATCGACAACTGCATGTGAAGAATGTCACAAAACACCAGCTGACTGTACAAGGAATGATCATCAATTGATGGATTAACCTTGAGTCAGAGGTTGCAGTGAGCCGAGATTGTGCCACTGCACTCCAGCCTGGACAACAGAGCGAGACTCCGTCTCCAAAAAAAAAAAAAAAATCATTTGAATTAATCATCAGTTAGGATTAGGGGGAGGGCTTATTCTATAACACACCCACTAAATTTTGGGGTACCGAGATATGGGTGACAGTGGAGAGCCATTGAAATCCACTTTCCCCCAGACCTAAGGTTGATAATTTTTAGAATATTTTGTATTTTCAACTAATTGCAACTTTTTAACTTTTTTGGTTCCTTAAGGAATAATTAACTAGAAAAAAATAATTAATTGAGCTTGGTTGCCATGTGCTAACGTAGTGCTGGATTTCTGACTGTAGCTTCAGAAGATGCACTTTATCCACTTTCTCTGTCATGTCTACAGTGCACAGAGATTTGTAGCCCTTTAATGTTATCAAACTCACATCCTTTTGTACAGGACCATCGAGCAAACTTGGCTCATCAAATATGTTTCAGATTAGTTGAGAGAAAAAGACAGTAAAAAAAGTGCCAATGATATTCAAGGGAATCAGGTTTATTTGGGGGTGAATGGCATCCTGGCCCTTATTTGTGCTAATTGCCTGGTAAAAGAATTATTTTGGCTTCTGAAGGAGTGGGTATTTTATTTTATTGCTGCTTAATCTTCATTTTCCATATGAGGAGATTTTCTTCAGAAATATTCTGAAAGAAAAAAAAGGTAGTGGAAAAATATAGAGCCATTGGGAAAAAAATGGTTTAATTACATATGTCACCAAAATAAATTAAGGCTCCTTCTTCCAATCCTGCTTCCTTCTAATGACTCTGATAACTGAAGTGCTGAGTTTTATTAAATAGAGCAGAAGAGAACTCTCTGGAGATTAAAGAAGCTATTGAGATTTTCATACCTGCTGAAAAAGAAAAAGTCTCCCTTTTGTAGCTGACAGGCCCGTAATGAGCACATTTTGTAGCTGGAGAGAAAGAAAAAGAAGATGAAAGAAAAATCTTTTGAAGACTGAAGAAAGGGGAAATCCCACTAATATAGTGAAACCCCTTAATTGTTTTCCAAGAGACAGAAAAAAAACACTATTTAAAGGTCACATTGGCTTGTTTGAATTCGTTTGGCTTTCAGAAGATAAATATTGTGTATGGGAATATAAGAATGTCTGCTAGAAACCACTTTTGCACAATGAACAAAGGAATCATCCCTAATATGTGATTAACTGACGTTCCCTGCTCACCACAAATGTTGGCTTTCATAGACTTCAAGTGAAGGGGCACTTTATTAATTGGCTGAAGAATTCCTTAGAACGCCTAAGAGATTAAGACCACAGGATGCTTCAAGGTTCTTTCTTTCTTGAAAAAAAAAAAAAAGTATACAGATTTAAAAAACATGTTGACTGCAATAGCATTATCATCTATCTTAAGTATTACAGAATTAACCTATTGTTAGCCTTCAAAAATTTTCCTGCAACATGTCAGATTAGCTCAATGTCTATTAAATGGCCATTTTGGTTTTTCCTTCACCTTCAAAAAACAAGTCTAATTGTCATAAAATTTGCTCTCTCAAACCCAAATAGACTTTGTGACTTTAAATGCAGATTGCTAAATTATTCCCAAGGCAAGTGAAAGGAAGGATTGCACCCACCGTGCTGCTATTTAAAATGAATTTTAACCCCTTAGGCTGACAACTGACACAAACTCAGATTGCCACACACAGAAGCCAAGGGGTCTGTTGGAATAAGAGCTGCCATTTCCAATAAAAATAGAGTGCTGCAATAATGCCATGGTGAACAAGGTTTGTCGTTGAAATCATAGATCTGATCTAGATGAGATTAAGGGTGAAAAACTAGGGGGATATGAATGAGATTTTATGTTGGGTAGATTTGAGATGCCTTCTACACACTGCTGAGGCAGCCAAGGCTTCATAAACCCTACCTCTCCTCCCGCCCCTTCCTGCCCCCGCCCCCACTCCAATACATTGATTATCTTATGTTTGGAATGATTGATTCTTTTGGTTCCAGGAAACCACCCTGGGATCTGACAGGAAATGGTGGATTGTTTATTTATTTTTCAGTTAGGAAACAAATTGAGCTCCAGAATCTGTGTATTTAAAATTGGGTCTCATTTAGAAGCCACTCAGCAGCATGTATTCTAAATCATGTTCTGCTTATTATAATGTGTTTATTTAGAACTTTATATTTTATCACTGGCTTTATAATTCTTTAAGTCAACCATTCCCTGTATCCTCTTAGCTGCTAACGTCTCAATTCTTAAACACAGTTTGTGCAGCAGGATAGTTCACAGTAGTGCCTTGTTGAGGGGGCTATGTGTCTGTGCTGTCCTGTGTGTCTGTGCTGTCCCAGCCATCACCAGTACGGCTCTCTCTGAAATGTGGCTGAGTGCCCAGAGAATGAACTAGCTACTGCCTGGTAGAGAGGAGAACCAAAGGCTGGCACTTGGCAGGGGCCTGCACTCTTGCAGCTGCTGAGTGCTAAATTATTACTGATGTGTTTCTCCAGCCTTTCTCAGCAGAGCTAGCCTAATGCAGCATGAACCTCTCCTCTGGCCCTTAGCATGGGACTTGGGTTTCAGAGCTGGAATAAAGCAGGCCAACTGAGACAGCTTCTGCCCAGGGCAGAGCAGCACGCACGGCTGTCCTGCACAGATGCTGAAATGCAGTGGACACATGTCCTGCTCTTCATGTGTAGAGACTCCCACCGTGAGCCTAATGTGATCGCTTTAGAAGCTTGGTGGTTTTTACATAGGCATATGAATTGATCAAATTGAGCCTCTGAGGCAAAAATACACCACTCAGACAGAGCCTTTAACAAAGAGCAGCTCCCATAATGCTGAGGAGGGATGGTCTCTCCAGGAGACTACAGGAAAAGGTAGAAGCAGACTTTCTGCTTTCAGCTTAAAGAATCAAGCTCAATCAACCTGTGCTTCTCCAACCTGGCATTTAGGTGTCTTGTAATCTTCTAGTACACTGGTTAGGTGTGATAGCTGTGCATGGTATTTGTAAGAGAGGCAGAGAAGGCTCATACAAAGAGCCTAGGATTATAGACCACCGGTCTAGAACCCCTGTGTGACTATACAACTACAAATAACTTGGCTTCCTGTGCCTCCACTTTCTCATCCATCTCTTGCATGTGTAAATACATAGATTGCTAGCCTAGGTTATTTGATATAATTTTAAGGTAAATCTCCTGCAGTGCCAACGTAAGTGGCATTGCATGAATAGTCAAATCATAAATTATAACACAGTATTTTTATGCTGTCGTCTCCTAACATCCAACACTCAATTCTGCCCATCAGAGTGAGGCAAGCTGTACCCTGAGCCCTTTCCCCAAGGCTCTTACTTGAAAAAACAGGGCTTATCTCTCTTCACATAATTTCCTTCTAAGAGCCACTCAGAGCAGAGGGTGACAGTAATTACTGACAATTGATTTATCTTGCTTATAATGACAAACTTTGGTAAAATTTAGGAATTTATGATCAGATCTACCTATATTACTTATGTAAAACTAAAACACTCTGTTTGGCTTTTCTTTCTTTTTTTCTCAAGATAATGTACTCAAGGAAATACAACTTAAAAAACACAATTTTGTTAAAAATAATTTTTTTCAAAAAAAACCCACACACATTTTCCACACCCCTCCGCCTGCCCGCCAACCAGCTGGAACTTGTTCTTCCTCACTCATCTACCAAGAGGAAATTTACATTTAGCAAAGTAAGATGTCTCCTGTGCATTGTTCATGTTGGTTGTCTGATAGTCTCTGTAGTCCAAACAACTAAGTTGTTAACATTTCATTTTTCTGCCAGTTGCTTTATTGTAATGTGGATACTGCCTTAGAATATTTTCATGCTTTAAAATATGTTGTGCCAAAGAGGTTTGGAAAAAACTACATCTCCAACTCCAAGGCAAACCCATCCAAAAAAAAAGGTAGCATTAGAAGTGCTCTATATAGTGGTTCATATTTCCTTATACATTTTAATTTCCTCACTCACAAATCCTTCAAGAAACTACTCTCCAACATTCCTTTTTAAGCACAATCTTCAAGGAAATAAGAGAGAAAAATCAAGAAAGCCTCTTGTCACTGCAGGTGGCTTTTCATGGTGGCAAGAGTCATCTCCGGGAAATTGCCTTAATGTTGCACATATCCAGCTATTTGTGGTGAGAGCCTAGAAACCCACAACAGAGTCTGACAATTTCTCTGAGGGACGTTGTTTGCTTTTGGGAAATCCATTAACTCTTCCAGTCTCCGAGGATCCACTTAATCCAGCACTGTCTAATAGACATGTGAGCCACACATCTATTTTTAAATTTCAAGTGGCTACAATTAGCCATACTAGAATAAAAAAAAGCAAGTGTTATAAATTTTAACAATATATTAAGTTAACCCACTATATCCAAAACATAATTTTGACATGTAAACAGTATAAAAAACTATTAACAAAATATTTTGCTTTTGTTTTTAAAATCTAGTATGTATTTTGTACCAATAGCACATCTCAGTTTTATCCAGCTACATTTCAAGTGCTCAGTAATCACATATGCTAATAGCTACAGTATTGGACAGAACAGAGTTAATCCATTGCTTTTTACCAGGACATGTAATGCTGCCTGAGGGATCCAAAGGAATTAATGTCTCTGAATATGGACAGCTCATTACCTTTTGTTTTTACAAATGTTTTTTTAAAAAGCATTATTAGCAAAGTGCCTCCAAGACACACCAAGACATATAATCATTCATACCTTCAAAATGCAGTGATTCCGGACACTGAGATTATCTCAAATAGTACCAGATCTTACAACTTTGAAAGGTGGATAACAGAATTTCTACTTACTCACAAGATCACATATTTAGATTTCTTTTAATAAAATTTTATTTTAAAATAGTTTTAGATATAGAGAAAAATTGTGAAGATAATACAAAGAGTTACCATATACTTCATGCCCAGTTTCCCCAAATATTAATGACAATAAATTTGTATGCAATATTTGTTATGATTAATGAACTAATATGATATATTGTTATTAAGTAAAGTCCATGCTTTATTCAGATTTTCTTAGTTTTTTCCTAGTGTCCTTTTTCTGTTCCAAGTTCCCATCAAGATACCCTATTACATTTAGTCATCATGTCTCCTTAAGCTCTTCTTAGCTGTGACAGTTTCTCAGATTTTTCTTGATTTTATTAGCCTTGATAGTTTGGAGGTGTGCCAGTTAAGTATTTTATAGGCTGTTCTGCAATTGTGATTTGTTTAATTTTTTTTTTCATAATTAGCATACAATTATGGGTGTTTGGGAGAAAGAGCACAGAGTTAAAGTGCCACTCTTATCACATCAAGAGTACATACTATCTATTATGACTTATGACTGCTGATATTAACCTTGACCACCTGGCTGGGGCAGTGTTTGTCAGGGTTCTATACTCTAAAGTGACTCTAATTTACCTTTCCTTATTTTACTCTTTGGAAAGAAGTTATTATACACAGGGCAAACTTAAGGAGTAGGGAGTTATGCTTCACCTCCTTGAGGGCAGACTTGTTCTTTTGCATGAAAAAATTGTCTAGTCTCGCCTACTTATTCTTTTATTCAATCATTTTTTACGTCATTTGGAGTCATAAATATTTATTTTATACTGTGGGTTATAATCTAATACTACTTGCTTTTGTTGCTCAAATGTTTCAGCTTTGGCTATTAGGAGCTCTTTCAGTTGGCTTCTGTGTCTTTTTGACAGATCCCCATCACTGTGGTCTTTGGGTTCTGTTTGTTTTATTGTTTTGTTGTTGAGAACTGCCTTGCCTTCTGACACTGTAAGGTGCTCCAGGCTTGTCTTGTATATTTCCTGCCCTAGTCCTAGAATCAGATGTTTCTCCAAGGAACCCTGGTTCTTTTTAATGTAGAATGGTTAAACAACAACAAAACCAAGATCTGGGTGCTAGGTGTTTAACTTACTTACAGAGCATTGTCTGTAATTTATAATCAAGTTACTCTGGAAAAAAAAAAAGCAACATATACTATACTGAACACTTTCCAAGTGGCAGGCATACGGTAAAATTTGAAGAACATCTGGAATCTCTAGGAATATTACTAAGGCATTCCTGTCAGTGGCAATGCAGATGTAAGATTAAAAAAAATGTAAGATAAAAAAAGGGCAAACTAAGACTTTTCACAACCTTTTCTTGATGAGTCAAATATGAAAGATGGCAAGAGATTAAAATATTACATACTACCTTAAAAAAAAAAACCACCTCAGTGGAATCTAAAAGAAAATGTGTTGGCCCAAGGGAAGATTACTACTATCAAACTGAAAAAGAATTAAAATTATGCAGTTGTGTTTGTGTGTGTGCTGAATAGGTTGTAAGGGCTTTAAAAATTACTTTTTAAAAACTTGTTCCAAGCACAACGCCTGGTATATAGCATACAAGTGTTTCTTAAACAAATAAACTGGATTATAATTATAATTTCTAAATGTTTCTGCCTAACTTTATTATAAGCATTTAGTTTAATATTATTCAAATAATAAAAAAAAATTTAAGAGGATATTTTTCTGTTCTTACAAGAACAGAAGCTCACACTGAATAATATTTTACTCTGGTCTATTCAGTTGCCAAATCCTTTATACTGTTCCTTTCTTGCCCCACCTGCCCCAGTATCACAAAATCATTAAACAAAATTTTCAAAGAAGTCATGGAATGATCATTTTTTAAGGCAAAGTTAAACTAAGCCAAGTGAGCATTTCACTAAAACATTCCACTGGAGCTGGTCTTGGAGTCATGAAGGGAGGCATTTAGTCCAACTATGGAAAAAGCAAAGCAAACCAGTTCTGGTATTTGGTTTAATTCTTCTGCTTCTAATTGAGTAGGGCAGTGACCTCATGCTAGCCCTGCCCTATGCTGGTTTGATATCCACTCCCTTCAACTGGCCACCCCAGCTTTTTCTGCAGGCTGCTGCTCTCCACACTCGCATCCTTCTTTCTATGCCTGTGTGATGTCTTCAGTCCTCACATGCATCTTGCTTCCACTTGCCCTTAAACCATCAGATATTCTCATTAACACTTCAGTTTGGGGCCTATTTCATCTTTAGAAGAGTCAGCACCCCTGGTGTAATCCAGAAACCATGATCTAGACCTATACTACTTCAGACTTCTTGAACTTTTGAAATAAAACCTTAAAAACGTTGAATTGTTCAACTACATGTGATTAAGGTCCTATATTAAAAGTCTATTTGGGAGTTATCTTAACAAAGGTTTTAAGAAAACAGTAGCCTGTGTTCTCAATTGTTCTCTCTCCCTAGATAATATATTTAAATTAATGTGTATTTCTCTTCTCTCTCTCTCACATACACACACACAGCCATTTAATCCAAGCTTTCATTCAAACCAAGGATCTTTCCACAAAATCCCTGAGAGTCAACTTTTACTGTTTACTAAAACTGTCTTCACTGTGTGGAGCTTACTTCTTTGTGAAGCTTGGTGTTTCATTTGGACAGGCCAATTTATGGAAAGCTGTCCTTCATACTGAACTGAAATTGATCTTTTCATCTGTGCCTATCATTCCTGGAATCAAATGAGATACCATATCCTGAAATTTTTTGAAATGGCAAAGCACTGAATAAATATAAAATATATTAATGTCAGTTCTACTGTATAGAGTTTGAAAATTTGACAAGCACACTGTCCTCTCCAAGTCATTGGAATAGATGAATATGAGAACAGAACAAGAGAGATACTCTGCACAGGTTTTGGAAGTGCTCCTTTCAATTTGATATTAATCCATTAATCAGTATTCTTTAAACTACTCTATTTAAGCAGTGAGAGGCAGGGACCAGGTTAAGCCAAGACCTAGAGAATAAAAACAAAGCCAAAGTAGAAAGAAAACCAGGACCCACCACCACCCCAGGCCTGCAGCAAATACATCAGTGTTCACTCAAGGCCCAAGGACCCTTCAGTCAGCTTGTGATGAATACTGTTGAGCCTGGGACTCTCCCTTCAGGACAGTGCTCCCCTCTAGCCCAGGAAAAGTCCAGTAATACCATCCATGTGCCAAGGCCTCGAATCATGGACCCCAAGAGCCCACTTGGTTCTCTATCCCTCTGTGGCCAATATGGTACCTAAGCTTCAAGACAAAGTCGGCTTTACTCTTCCCCCTCCTTTTCTCAAGCAGAAGGAGTCTCTCATCATAGCCAGCATAGCTGGGGATGTGCTGAGTCACACTTGAAGCCAGCATGTCTCTGAATCTCACCCAAGGCCCATAGCAAGTACTGTCTAGCTACCACTGCTAACTATGCAGGGCCAAAGGGCTTTTTAGTCAGTAGTTAATGAATTGTGGCAGGACTGAGTCCTTCTCTTTAAGGCAGCTGGTTCTCTTCTGGCCCAGGGTGTGTCTAGAAATAACATTAGGAGCTAGGGCCTGGAATGGGAGCCTCAAGTCTCCGGCTAGTGCTCTATCCTACTGTGGTTGAGCTGGTATCCAAGTTACAAGACAAAGTCCTCTTTATTCTTCCTTCTCCTCATTTTAAGCAGAAAGAAGTCTCTCCCAGAGCTGTGAGCTGTGCTACCTGGGGTTTTGGGAGTGGTGGTGCAAGCACACCCTCGGCTGTCCTAGCCAGTGTCTCGCTGGGTCACGTGTTCCCCAAGTCTACTTTCTCGAGTCCAGCACAGCACCAGGACTTGCCAAGGAATTGCAGTCCTCTTGGCCTAGACTGTCTTTCAAGTTTACTTAGGACCCCATAGCATCTTAGCCCATGGTGGTGGGGCTTGCTAGAAGAAAGGGTCCAACAACTGGGATGGGTGAGTCCACTCTGGCTAGGGCTGGTGTATATGCTCCCTCCATAGGCATTGACTAAGTTCTATACAGTGTTGCTTTTCTGACAGGGCAGCAATGAGTTCCAATGCTAAGTCCCACAATCACTGCACTCTCCCCACCAAGAGCACAGATCTTCTCTCAGCACCACATGGCAGCTGCTGGGAGTTGAGGGTAGGGTGGTGTCAGCAATTCAAGGCTGTCTTTTCTATCTTCTTAAGTGCCTCTTTCAGTGATCTGAGGTTAAAACCAGGTACCGTGGTCACTCACCTGATTTTTGGATATTATGAAGGTGCTTTTTTGTGTGGGCAATTATTCAATTTAGCGTTCTATGGGGAGGACAATCAGTAGAGGTTTCCATTTGGCCATCTCGCTCCTCCTCCTCTGTTCCAATTCTGAGTCCAGCAAACAAAAATAGCGCCCTTTGGAAAGAAGCTACTATAGGACAAGCTTAGCAGGGAGCTATGCTTCACCTCCATGAGAGCAGACTACCTACCTAACTATTTACTTTGGAAAAGAGCTCCAGATGAAGGCCTGATGAGATTCCCATGCTTACTCTGAAATCATCATTTTGGAATCAGTCATTAAAGCTTCGTTGGGTGTGCTCCACTGCCAAGCTATGCTAAAGAAGTAGTCCTGGATTTGAGAGTCAAATGAGGGTAGGAACAGAGTAGGATGAGACCCCATGTCTACGGAGGTCCACAGGCAAGTGATAATGACTTCTTTATCCAAACTTCCACCCATGATCTGAAATCAATGGACGCTGCATGGCAATTCAAAGCCTGTAAATAGAACACCTTGATCCAAGAAACGCAGAGCACTTGGGTACAGATGGACATGGCCCTAGGGGGAAATTTCAGGTTTATAAAACTTAAGAGGCAGTCCTCACAGAGGATGAGAAATTGGTTCAATATATAACATAAATGATTAAATATGAGTAACTTCTAGATCATTTGGAATTGAAATTGGTACTAGATATCACTTGGAATATAAACTCAGAGTTCATGGTAAGGTGTGGAATATGGCAAATGACATTATACCATAATCATTAGACCCTTTCACTCAGTAACTTTATGCTTTTACAGAGGCAGAGTCTTTAAAAACTTTCTTAATCTTATTATGATCCTATCATAAATGTTAGCTTTAATAGCAATCTTAATCTTACAAGTGAAATTCTTTAACTAGAAAATATCCAAGATATTTATTGTACACACTACTGTTCAATGTAATTAATAAAATATTAATTTATAACATGCTCTTAGCCCAACCAAAAGATCATGCTAATTAGTTTTCTTCAAAAAATATTAATAAGTAGTAAAAATCCTACCTTGAGTATTCAGCCAATATTAAGAGTTATGCCTGGTGGGGTGTGGTGGCTCATGCCTGTAATCCTAGCACTTTGGGGGACCAAGTCAGGCAGATCACTTTAGGTCAGGAGTTCAACGCCAGCCTGGCCAACATGGTGAAACCCGCTGTCTACTAAAAATACAAAAAAGTTAGCTGAGTATGGTGGCGGTCACCTGTAACCCAAGCTACTTGGGAGTCTGAAGCAGTAGAATCGCTTAAACCCAGGAGGTGGAGGTTGCAGTGAGCCGAGTCACGCCACTGCACTCCAGCCTGGGTGACAGAGCAAGACTCCATCTCAAAAAAAAAAAAAAAAAAAAGCAAAAAAGGAGTTATGCCTTAAGGGTTTTAATATAGCATTGTGCCACTTGGAGTATGATACAACAAACCAAGTATATTAGGCATTCTTGAATGCTAGATGAATGATACCGTTTAGTGTATAGAAAAACTGATTCAGTGTACAGTTTAAAGATTGAAATTTTAGAATAAAAATTAAGATCCACACTTCATGAGAAAATTTGACCACCACATTGAAGTGATAGTTTGCATGTCTGGTTTTAGGTCCTTTGTAACAAACTCTACTTAAAAAAAAAAAAGAAAAGAAAAGAAAAGAAAAGAAAGAAAGGAATTAGGGAGTGCTTAGTGATATTCTTCTTGGCTGAGTTAAAGCAGTTTACTAGACTCAGCTTGATCTTTGCCTGTTACTGCTGTCTAGACGCCTTCCATTCATTGTATTACGGATTTGGTTCAAGATGTCCAACTTCCTCTTTTCTCACAATAGAGAATGTAACATAACAGACATCTATAATTAGTTACTTAAAAATACTTTCTGAGGAAGACAATATTAAGAACAGCCTGCCATCATATCCACCTATTTGCAGCCTAACTTCTCTTTTCCTTTTAAAGAAACCTCCCAAGAAGCTTGTCCTGAGCTCCTAGGACTACTCCTGAAGCACATTCATTGACTCCAGAGACTCAGGATAGGAGGGCAGCCACCCCCACAAACACTCTCACTTCCGAGCTTCTTCTGGGTTATGTCACTTTCCTTAGCTCCCCATGGAATGAGACATTTAAATTACAACAGCCCATTCAGAGAAACACAACAGCTGCCAATTTGACCTTCTCTCGGGATTTGTGTTTGAAAGAGGGTCCTAGTTGTCTGGTTCACTCCAGAAAATTACTACAGATGATGTAGTTGGGTCATGTGACACATGGTTAAAAAAATAAACAACTCTCCTGTTGACATATGACCTACAACTAAGACAGAGGCTTTAGTCCATATGGTGAAATATTGGGCTCTGAGGAAATGTCCATAGCTTTGGTTTTCTTAGCATGGAAAACCAATTTGTATTTTCATATTAGGCTTAATCTCAACTGGGTGAGGCTTGTGGTATCTCAATAAATCTGTACTATGTAAAAGTTGCTTTCTGCTTGGCAAGAGCAAACTACAAAAACTTGAAATGAGAGACTTTAAGAACCATTATGTATGCACTCCCTGGCTGCTGGGTTGCTGACCTGGGGCTTTTTACCTGGTGGTCTGATGAGTCATGCCATTCAAAAAAAGAGAAGACAGCAAAGATATTTGAATGGTTAGCTATACAGGCAATTAAAAACCTGCTGGGTGGGCTCTTTCCCCGCGAGGCCAAGATGCTGATTTGGAAGATAACAGTGGATTCTTTCTCTGGTGCCTACTAATATTCTAGAAATGGAGTACATAGAGAAACTGAAGCCAGGCTCAGAAAAGACAGCCCACAGACTTAGTGTTCAAGTAATTTACACTCTTGACAGGTCTCTAAGAGGTAACTTTTTCTTTTTAAAAAATTTCAGCTATAATATTGACTTGGAAGAACAATCTGGACACAAGCAAGCTTGATCATAGTGCTGTAACACAACTCAGTGTCTTGTCTCTTAGACCAGCTCCTGAGTTCTCTCTCTTTCTCTCTCTCTCTTTATGCTGATGCTGTCGGCACTCACCAACAGCCAGGCTGGAGACCTTGGAATCCTCACTGACTCACTTTCCTTACCAAGGCATAAGATGAGTCTATTTTTCGAATATTTCTTGTCTCTTTATCTCCTCCTTTTTGCCCCTCCCACCACAAAAGTTGAGAATTTCATCTTCTCACAATGGGGGTATAAAAAGTTCCTCAAATTCTCTACAGTCTTCTTCTCCCTTTCGTTATATGCCCCCAGAATGATCGTTCTAAAATGCAAGTCTAAGCACACTACAGCTTAAAAACCTTCAGTGACTCACCTTTACCTCAGGAACGAGGGCAGGTTTTTAATATGGCATAAAATTTGGATTTACAAGTCATCTGACCTATCCTAAATTCCTGCTCTGTGGGACCTATCTCATTCTACCAGAGGGTGTCAGATTCTTATCAGTTTCACACCAGGCCGGCCAGCCCTGTTCTTTGCCCGAATTGCTCTTTACTTTCTTTACTTGCTGATTCCTTTTCGTCTTCTGATGGCTGTCTCAATTGTTCTCTTCTCTGTTAGCCTTCCCTAACCTCCTCAGTGTTTTCTAACCCCCTCCTGGGAGCTCTCTAATGTATTGCTTCTATTAGAGCACATACCATGGTACACTATAGTTATCTGTTGACTAGGGAGTGATGTCCTCAGCCGTTGTCAGATATATGGTAAAAATCAGTGAATGTTTGTTGAATGACTATATACAAAGCAAGTTTCTTCCTAGAACATGTTTTTGACCTGGTAGAATTTTGTTTCTGGCCTTCTGATTTCTCTGAGGTACAAAGTGCTTCAAAAGGAAGAGTTGTAGGACCTTTGATTGACAACCTAAAAAGAACTGTGTAAGGATATGCCAGCACTTGAATCTGAGGACAATGGAAAATAGAAATCTGATTGGAATAAACTGGTCACATGTGGAGGACATGCTACCATATAAGTACAGGGAAAACAAATTAGGGTGATCCATAGAAAGCAAATCAGGGTTCTTGGAAAAAAATATTGAAAATGGAGGTAGTAGTTCTGGCTGACCTAAATGCATAATGTTTCATTAATTTTTTGCTGACAGATCCTTTCTCTCTAACGTAGCTCTCTGTGTCTTCTTCTTACTAACTATGTGATCTTGAGGAACTCAGGCTATGTCTCAGATTTCTCATATTTAAAAAAGGAGGGAAAATGCCTGCCCTGCCAACATCATAGGTTTGTTTTGATTTCCAAAATACAGGGAATATGTAATAACATAGTTTTGGCCTATTCATCACATTTCTTTCTTTGTTTTTTCTTCAGTTTTTTGTTGTTTATTACAGTTCCCTTTTTTTATTATTATACTTTAAGTTCTGGGGTACATGTGCAGAACGTGCAGGTTTGTTACATAGGTATACACGTCCCATTGTGGTTTGCTGCACCCATCAACCCGTCATCTATATTAGGTATTTTTCCTAATGCTATCCCTCCCCTAGCCCCCCACCCCCCAACAGGCCCTGGTGTGTGATGTTCCCCTCCCTGTGTCCATGTGTTCTCATTGTTCAACTCCCACTTATGAGTGTGAACACACAGTGTTTGGTTTTCTGTTCTTATGTTAGTTTGCTGAGAATGATGGTTTCCAGCTTCATCTATGTCCCTATTCATCACATTTCTAATAGTAAATGAATGTAGAGAAGAAATGCTGATTTTGTGACTATTTGTCATGTATTGACTAATGTAACACTTTAGAAGATATAATTATATTTAAATTCATCACTAAATTAGCCATTTTGTGTTTTCAAAGAAAGTTAAGAATGACCTAAAATGTTAACTGGGCATGGTGGCTCATGCCTGTAATCCTAGCACTTTGGGAGGCTGAGGCAGTCGGACTGCTGAGTCTAAGAGTTTGAGACCAGCCTGGGCAACATGGCAAAACCCTGTCTCTACAAAAAATATAAAAATTAACTAGGGGTTGTGGTGTGCACCTGTAGTCCTAGTTACTTCTGGGGGTGAGGTGGGAGGATCACGTGAACCTAGGAGGTCAGGGATACAGTGGCCTGATCACAGCTCACCGCAGCCTCAACAACCCTGACAGAGAGACCCTGTCTCATTAAAAAAAAAAAAAGACCTAAAATATTGAGTGAAGGCTTTTCTCATCAGAATTCTGAAGCTATTTTACTGTACTCGTCCAACTCAGAAATGCAATTATGTAGGTAATTATAGTTTGTATTTGGAGATTAGAATTCATCCTATGAGTAGTTTGCATATGCATATCATACACAAAGTGCTGGAATTATATTATGACATTTTAAAGTAAAATAAATGGTTGAACTAAATGAATTTGTTTATACTGTCACCTGTTAGCGCTTGATATTGTAAAAATGAAGAAGTTTGAGAATGTGATATTAATATGCTTTTAAAACAACTTTATAGAATTTGATAGCTATTATAATTATAATTATAAACAGTATCAAGCCAAGTTAATAGATAAATCTTTTGGAACTGCCTTTCTTTATAATAAGTAAATAAAAATAATCAGTAATTCACCTGCAATAATTTGCATGAAACTGGGTACAAACCACTTTTTGCTGTGCGTTCCTCATTTCATATTAGTGGTTGAGAAACGTTTCCTGGCTGAGTAGTTAACATGTGAATAATGCTTATCGAATTAACGTATTTGAAGTATTAGAAAGTCTTAAGCTCTTTTTCCTGTCATCGTATTTATAATTTTCATTTCCATTAACCAGGTAAATAAAGTTTGTTAAGTGAAGATAATCCTCCCTATTCTTTTTCTAATGAAATATCAATGAGAATTCCATTTAAAATCATTTGTGGAAAGAGATGTGAATAGTTAGCACTATAAATAACGTTTTTGTCTATTTTTAAATAGGATCTGATGCCATCAAAAGTCACAAGAACTGGCCGGGCAAGGTGGCTCACGCCTGTAATCCCAGCACTTTGGGAGGTCAAGGCTGGCGGATCACGAGGTCAGGAGATTGAGACCATCCTGGCTAACACAGTGAAACCACGTCTCTACTAAAAATACAAAAAATTAGCCAGGCATGGTGGCGGTCGCCTGTAATCCCAGCTACTCGGGAGGCTGAGGCAGGAGAATGGCGTGAACCCGGGAGGCGGAACTTGCCGTGAGCCGAGATCACGCCACTGCACTCCAGCCTGGGCGACAGAGTGAGACTCTGTCTCAAAAAAAAAAAGTCACGAGAACTGTCTGGAAATGTGAGCAATTTCAAGCGAGAGATTAGTTGTTTTACAAAGTTCATTAAAATATGCATCAACCATTCTTCATCTCTTTGAATAAAGGTAGGACACTATGTAATTTTATGTAGATTTCTTCCAGCTGATATTAAATTTTGAATGCAGAACTAAATGAATTTGTTTGTGTTGTCAGCTTTGGATACCTGATGTTATAAAACTGCAGTTCTAATTGGAAATGTGATTCTGATATACTCCCTTTAGGAGTTTGACTGTTTTACTTACTTTATGAAGCAAGAAATAATAATAAAATTTTAGCTCTCATAATCAAGAGCCATTTGAATACTCATAAATTAAAAATATTTAGATGTCAAGACAGTAAAGCCTATGACATGAAAAGGACCAGATAACTAGTTAAATGAATTTCCATGGGTCAAGTTGCACAAGTAACATAGTCTAGAAGTGTGGATTAATTTTCACTCCGATAACGCGTTATCTTGCTTAAATGTGATTAAAAATCCCCACTGGGTTCTATGTTAATCTTTCCTCCAAAGATTTGGATCTTATCAAGTTTGGGAGCTACTTTGGAAGTAGAGAGTGCTCTCCAAAAGAACTCTCAAGAGGCAGTATCAGTTTTTACAATCTACTCTGGGGTAATGAGAGAGTGGTTGAGTTTACATAGATTATCACTTATGGCTGCCTCCCTGGCTTGACATTGTACAGGGGGAGAGCTCAAAGCTCAGTGAGGCTCAGACGAGGTCAGACACAGAGAAATTTGGAGACCATTTTTAGTGATTTGACTTAAGATGCTTTAGGTTTTGTTTTGTTTGTATTATCTTCTTTTAATGCCTCAAAAATTTCCCTCTCTATAACGAGCCTTTGCTCTAAAAAATTCCCTATGTAATTTATTTAGCAAACATGCATTGAGTGTCTGTCATGTGCCAATTACTATGCTGGGGGCTGGGGATGTAGCAGTGAATGAGGACAATGAAATGCTTGCCCTTCTAGGACTGACAGTGGCGAAGAGGTTAGCATTAACTAGACAATACACAAGAGCAATAAGGGCCCTGAAAATATCTTTCTTCCTTAAATACTGTCTTTCACTCCATTCTTCTCTTATGGGACTTAAAGGATATGTTCAAGTTCTCCTGTTACTTTATATTTGAATACAATGAACATTCATTTATTGATTCATTTACTCTCTTCTTTCAATAAGTATAAATTGACTAAGTCATCTTTCTAACAATTGAATAATAGTAAGATTCATTAGTCCTGCCCTCAAGCATCCTATGGCCTAGGGTGGGAGATAATATATGTATATACATCATGATGATTTTGCCACTCCATACAGTTATGAAAATACAGATAAAAGGTTATTTCCAATTAACAGAGTCAGGAAAGCCTCCCTGGATGAAGAAGCTGTAAACTGGGCCTTATGATTAGAGCGGTTATATGCATATGGCAAAAGGAGAGAAGCTATTCCAGGTAAAAGCCACAAAAATAAAGGCAGAAAGTTGGGAATTCAGAATCAACAAAGGAGCAGCAACCATTCAGTCTGGCTGACTTCTCATCTCATTTTTGATAGAGTGGGTTAGGGATGAGGTAGAGGTATGGAAAGAAAAGAGGATAGTTATAAGTGACTAATAAATGTTTGTTGCCAAGGACCACCACAGAATCCTCATTATTTGGAAGCTCCTTTATGGAATATGCTTTGAAATTTAGGGTGTTCTACAACTACCCCACCACACAGGGCTAGTCCTGTAAGTTTCAATTATCTGAAGTTATTCTAGTTACACAGGAATGCACAATATTAAAATTAACAGATATTGAGGCCAAATAATCAACAATAGCTGGAAGCATGTACCTTGGAAAGATATGTCCTCATTTTGAAATTGAATCCCAGACAAAACTCCTGGAATTTCAGGTTTGGTTACAAATATTGAACTTGTATGAAGTTCACCGAAGTTCATTTCCATGGAGCCTGGAGTGAGTTAGGCATAAATCATAACCAGCCGAGGTGGAAGCCCATATGCATACATTCATAGGTACAGACAGACAAACCCCAGTCCTTCATAGCTTCAGATGGAAACCATATGAAATGTCATGGCCTTGCACAGCTTCAGCCAGAAGCCTGGGCAGCTCTGTGCCTTCCGCTGGGGCTCTCTCAGTGGTTTTATTTCCGATTGATCCTGAGTGTATAGCAGGGTGCCCAACCTGCCCATGGAAACTAAGAAGCTTGAGGAAATAGCTGGGTCGAAACTATGAAACTGTGCTCACTGTTCAAACCTATGTTCTGTAAAATTTACAACAGATTCAGTCACCTCACATTTCCATGTAAATTACTGCTCGAGAGGGAAGCTTGTCTTGCTGGGGCTTCCACTGTTGAATTTTTAAAATTGACAACACCTTCTGTTCCTAGCTGGAATTATGAGACAAAGAAAAAAGAGAACGAGAGGGAGAAAATGTTCTATCTTACTTCAACAGGCTCCGTTTTATTGCAGGTAATCTATTATGTTAGCATTTTGATTTACCTGTAAAATACATACATTTATCACAGTTTCTAATTGTTTTGTGAATGGTATTTAGCTTATAAAAGAATAAAAGCTGTGACTAGCAATGCTTTTGCTACACTTTCCTGGTTTAGTAAATCTTAAGAAAAGTTCAGCATTGCCTCCACTGGGACTTTTCTTCTTTATGGAAACCAAAGGTGCAAACTTTAGAAATAAATAGATGCTGAAGAGCGTCTAATATGAATGTGCTTGAATAATTTACATGATGCTTTGGTGTTTTGTTGAAGAACATTAGACAGAAAGACTTGTGTAATATGGCCTAATGTGTATTTATTACATGAACTTAAAATATACCTGAGCTTTATGTCTTCACTTCATAGTAGCATAAAAAGTTATTTATCCTAAAATGGTGCTAAAAATATTTGAAAGCACTTTCTGTATCACATGAATAAAATGTACACAGGAGGGCAATGTGTTTTAATATTGTAAAAATAAGTGGAAAGCGGGCATCAAAATGAATCTATTTTTAAAGGTCTGTGTTTCACACTGAGTGATAGGATGCCTTTTATTGCTCATTGGCAAGGTCAGTACTTGGTAAAGCAGTACAATATCCCTCTCCCACCAAGCTGCAGTAATCTAGTAAATTTCAGATATTTTGGCTCGAATAGGAAGAGGGAAAAAGTTCCTCATATGTGTTCAAATAGGCATTAAAGTTGTCCATCACCATGAGAACAAAGTTTATGGTTTTTTCTTTTTTTCCCCAAGTGACTTTTGCCTTCTTAGTTTAAACTATCAGGTTAAAATAAAAACATTTTAAAATGAGGGAAAAAGCCCACCTTTCCTTTCAAAGAAATGTGCAATCATTGATTTTTCTTGCAATGTTCTGCAAGAAAGTGGCACCACTGAGTGATATATGTACCCCAGGGCTAACAGCTGGAGGGCAAAAACCACCTTTTATCCATGATTGACAAATAATACATAATGAGAAGAGAGAGGCAATTCAAGTTTTACATTTCACTCTCTTCGGCTTTTTAGGGCAGCTGGGTACTGCTGTTCTCACCTGGTAACCTTTGAGGTGCTGCCAGCAAAGGGGATCCAAGTGACAATTCTTTCTCTCCTCCTACAATCCCCCAAAGCTCTAGTAAATATGTGCAGCTTGCTCTTTCAAAGAGCATCCAGCTGCTAACAATTCCATTGTTTCTCTTTGGAATGAAAATCCTGGGGGTCTGAAAATACATTGCATGGTTATAATGACTATAGTAAAGTAAGGCTGAAATCTAAAATCTCCCAAAGCAGAATCCCCCAATAAAGTGAGGAATCGGTTGGTAGCTGATGAGTAAAGAGTTGGAGAAAGAGCCTAGTAAAAAGAAAAATTAAATTAGAGTTCTGTTACAAGTGAGCTTTATGAAGTAGTGGGTATTCAAAATAAATTATACATTTCACAAAATTAAGACATGTTTAATGTAAATAATTTAGAAAACATATAAGAAAAAAAATTCATCAATGACCTGAAAAACTAGAGATAGCTGATATAATAGTTTTGGTTTCTTTTAGAAGTCTTTCCACATTTGTGTATCTCTATATCTATATTTTTGACCATGTCAATACCCATATCCATATCCTCATCTCTCTACAACTGTATCTATATACAATGCATATCCTTATACACTTACATCTGTCTATTAATCTAAGTAGCTGCCTGATGTGGTTTTTCCATCTAATCCCTCCACTCCAACCAAATCTTTTCTCCCCGTGTGTTCAATCATGGCAACAAATGATAATTCTGTCTTTCCAATTATCCAGGCCACAAATCTTGGATTCATTCTCTACTTCTCTCTCTCACACTCCACTTCCAATACTTCTAATACTTACTGACTCTATCTTAAGCATTTATGCAGAATCTATCAGTTATCATCTCCTTCCTACCAACCTGGTAGGAAGGCATCATTAGCCATCACCATCTCTTGCATGGATGATGGTGATGGCCTCTTAACTGTACTCTGTGCTTCTGTCTTGGTCTCCCTAACTTCTGACACAATGGCTAGACTGAGTCTCAAAAAATATAAGTTAGACCATTCATTCTTCTGTACAGAGGCCGGTAATGGCTTCCCATCTCATTCAGAGTAAAATCCAGGGTTTAAAAGATGGCTTAAGTTGTTAAGTCTCTCAGGGAGGATGTTGTTTACATTTTGGACAAGAGTTTTTACTTTTATTTATTTATTTTTTATTTTTACTTTTTTTTTTGAGTTGAGTCTCACTCTGTTGCCCAGGCTAGAGTGCAGTGGCGCGATGTGGGCTCACTGCAAGCTCCGCCTCCTGGGTTCACGCCATTCTCCTGCCTCAGCCTCCCGAGTAGCTGGGACTACAGGCGCCCGCCACCACGCCTGGCTAATTTTTTGTGTTTTTAGTAGAGACGGGGTTTCACCGTGTTAACCAGGATGGTCTCGATCTCCTGACCTTGTGATCCATCCACCTCGGCCTCCCAAAGTGCTGGGATTACAGGCGTGAGCCACTGCGCCCGGCCTGGACAAGAGTTTTTAATGTGAAAATGTCCTTCTGGTTGTAAGATTTTTGATATCCCTGCTTGCCCCAAGTGCCTGTAAAACCCCGTATTCATGTAACAATGAAAAAATGTTCCCAATGTACTTCCAACTGCACTGGAGATGGCAATACCATCCCTAGTGGAAAACCATTTTGGCTCCTCTAACCACATCCTCTCGTAACTCATCTCTACCTGCTTCCCTTTGGGTTACTCTGACACAGGCTTGCTGCTTGTTGGGTAGGGTAAGAATTTTGCTCTCAGGGTGCTTTGCCCTTGCTTTGCCTGGGATCTTCTTCCCTCAAGTCACCTTAGTTCTTCGAGGTCTTTACATGTCAACTTCTCATTGAGGAAGCCATCTTATACATGCTGCTCTGCTTAATTTTTGCTCTTTAGCACTTATCACTATAAAACATACTACATATTTTCTTATTCATCTTGGTCGTAATGACCTAGTGTTCTTCCTCACTAGAATGTAAGCTCAGTGAGGGCAGAAGCTTGGTCTATTTTGTTCACATCTGGATCCATGATATCTAAAGCAGTCCTGACACAAAGTAGGCACTCAGTAAATAAGAATCACTGGAAATTTCAAACAGAGAATTTTTAATATATTATATCGCAATAGAATTGACTACATTAATGGTTTTAAATCTTTTTATTTCAGGAAAATTTCTGAAAATCCAGTGAAAACTATATATCCACCTCCAAGGAAAGCACATATTAATATGTACATGCATACATGTGCACATGTATACACACACAGAGATTTTTCGTATAACCCATCTACATCCAATAAAATCCATCCAAGTACTTGTTAGTTTATTTTAATTTCAGCAAAGAATCCAATAATTTTTTCACAGTATTCTGGAAGACAAAGTAAGAAATCTGACAATGGAGTTGGGTGGATCGGTGACAAGTAGATGACTATTATCAAAAAAATATTGAAGGACCAGCTTTAATCTTGAAACCTAGAGACAGGGCACTAGCAGCCTGAAGCTAGGTTCCTTTTCTATTTTGCTTGTTTATTAGTGGCCTGGAGGAAAGAATGAATGACATATACATCAAATTTATGAGACAGAAATCAAGAAGAAAGAGTTCTAGAATCAAATCCAAAAAGAGACCTTGACAGGTTGAAATAATGGGCCAGTATGGCCGGGCATGGTGGCTCACGCCTGTAATCCCAGCACTATGGGAGGCCCAGGCGGGCGGATCACAAGGTCAGGAGATCGAGACCACGGTGAAACCCCATCTCTACTAAAAATACAAAAAATTAGCCGGGCACAGTGGCGGGCGCCTGTAGTCCCAGCTACTCGGGAGGCTGAGGCAGGAGAATGGCGTGAACCCGGGAGGTGGAGCTTGCAGTGAGCTGAGATCACGCCACTGCACTCCAGCCTGGGTGACAGAGCAAGACTCCGTCTCAAAAAAAAAAAAAAAAAAAAAAAAAAAGAAATAATGGGCCAGTATAAACACAGTGAGATTTAACAGGGATAGATATAAAGTTCGAATATCTAACTGGAAACACAAGTTGAAGAAGATGAGCTTTAATGGAACTTGGGGGTTTCAGTTGACTGCAATCACAATATGAGTCAACAGAGATTTGTAGCTGCCAAAACAACTAATTAAATGTTGAGGCTGCATAGATAAAGTTATAGCAACTAAGAGATATGGTACAGTTCTATTCTCTTTTGAACCAGACAATACCTATAATGCTATGTCTACTTTCCAGTGCCAAAATTTTTGATCCACTGCAACAAACCAGAGACGACTTAACCAGGATGACAAGGGTATTACAAACTAGAAACTAGAGGAGTTTCACCTGAAAATTGGGAGATTTTGAGGTAACTTGAACATAATCTTCAATAGAAAGCTAATTCACTCTCAATATACAAATTTTTGAATACTTAATAAAACATATATATCCTTCTGAATGGAAAAAATACAAGGTGACAGGGAAAAATACATTTCTTCTCTTCCAATGTCCTCCAGCCTCCCAGCTACCTTTCCCAGGGGCAATCACAATGACCTTTTTTTTTTTTCTAGAGGTTACCCACATGTTTATAAACTTGTATGTATAAACTATTTCAGTTTTGGAGCTCTTTCCATTTCAGTTTATGAGGAGAACTTCGACTCTGACATGGTGTAAGTCTGCATTCCATTTCAAGCTGACATGGCAATGCCAGACTGCAAAATGTATGGAATGTGAAGGAGCAGTCCTGGGAAGCCACCTGGGGCCTGTGGGATTTCCAGGTCATCAGAATATCTCTTGCTTTCTCCCTGGGGTAGTCTGACCCAGGATTTGAAAAGTATTAACCTTTTAGCTATTAAGAACACGTCTACACTTTTGAGTTTAATCTAAACATCTGAAAGATGTTGGGTGGTCCCTGGTGATTCATTTCAAGTGCTTTGAGTTTAAAAATGCAGTTGAAGATGAGAAAGAGAGGAGATGAGACAGTTTGCACAGTTATTTTATACTGAGAAATTGTTTTACAAAACTGCTCAATGCTTTTATTAACCTCTATAATCCAACCCCACTAGATTTTTCCAATATTTTCTCCCCTTACTACCTTATCCATACTTTAGATTCAGTCTGGGCAATTACTTTAAGGACCACAATACCTACCATGCACTTCAGTGACTATGCTTTCACTTATATTGGTCCTCCTTCCTAAAATGCCCTTCAATCTCCTTCTTGATTAAGGACTGCTAAGTCTGCAAGTGCTTACCAAATTTGTCTTACTCCTGAAGGCAAAATACCTTAGTAGCTAAGCAACTAGATTCTAGTATTTGACTATATGTGCTCAATTCCTAATCCTGCTTTTTTTTTTTTTGAGATGGAATCTTGCTCTGTTGCCCAGGCTGGAATGCACTGGGGAGATCTCAGCTCACTGCAACTTCTGCCTCCCAGGTTCAAGCGACTCTCCCTGCCTCACCCTCCCAAGTAGCTGGGGCACAGGTGCGCACCACCAAGTCCAGCTAATTTTTGTATTTTTAATAGAGACGGGGTTTTGCCATGTTGGTCAGGCTGGTCTTGAACTCCTGATCATAGGTGATCCACCTCCTCAGCCTCTCAAATGTGCAAGCCAGAGTGCCCGGCCTAATCCTGCGTTTTATTAACTTTTTAACTTTGAGCAAGTTTATTGCTCCAAGCCTTAATTTCCTTGTCTATAAAATATTGATGATAATGATTAGAATTTACAGCATTATTATGAGATCAATTGATATGGAATATATCTGGTCCATGATGAGTGTTTAATAGATGTTGATGTGATGGTGATGACTTCTGTAATTTGTCTAAACCACACAGTTTTCCTAATTTGGACTTTTCTACATCAATATGCCCTGATTCATAATTTAATAGTTAATGAAATACACTGTTTTATTCTTTACTAATTGTTTCCTAAGTTTTGGATTGACTCTAATAGATTTTAAACTCTTTGAGGGCAGGAGGTATGTATTATAATTATTTCTAGGCATATAGTATCTGTTCTATGAATACTGAAATAATCGATTAACATAAATAATTAATCACCTTTCAGCCTTAAATTAGTTTTAGAATAATGCCCAGTTGCTTCTTTGGGGCAGATATTTGCAAGCAGTTTGGAACAATTATGGGGGCAGTGAATCAAAAAGAAATTCTAAAATTAAAAAAAAATTTCTACTTTGATACGGTCACTAATTTCCAAAACATCATTTCCAGAAAGTCAATATTTTCCTTTGGTTTTATTAGAGCTCTGAAAATCCCTCATTTTGCATTTTGTAAAATTACAGTAAACATTACCAGTAGTGTGTAAATCTTCTTGTAAGTAAAATCTCATTTCCAGAGAAGTTTTGTTACTGGGTTTTGGACAGATCACTGGCCGAAATTTATCTGTGGATTATAGTAGTAACTGGTGTTATAGGAATCTTAATACTGGATCACACCTGCATGCCTAATCCCAGTGTGCTTTTCATAAGAAACCTCATTTTTCTTTTTTCATGTTAGTTTGTATGAAATCTTCTGGTTTATATTTTTAAAGGGTGATATTTCCCATTATATATGCATAAAACGTACTTGCAGAGACCTGTTTTCTTATGCTTGGACTTATCCCACCCATTATACTTAAAATTTAATCTCATCCATGACTTGTGATGTGGTCTGTTGCCAGCAGTATAAGAATTTCTTACCTCAAGCCAATTTATTTAGTATTTAAAACATTTGTACTTTCCTTCCAAGGGCATGTCAGAATGGGTATTTCTGTTTCAGAAACTTAATTAACTTAGTTAATACCCCTCAGAAAAATGAATGGGTAGATATGGAAAGAGGTAGAGAATGCTGATGGTTGCCTGTGAAGTAGTATGTGTTTTCCTCTTTTCATTTACAAGGAATACCAATTTTGTTTCTTTCATCACCCTTTTGTCATGTAGTCAAGTACCTCAGGGGAAACTGACCTTTGTGATTCCACTACCCCACTGAATCAAGTATTGGTACACAAGTGGGCACGCAACCCAATTTTAACCAAAAGTATTTGAAGAAGAGGGGAGTTACTGGACAAATCAGAAAGAAGTTTTTTCTCTGTTATGAAAGAGTACTGGAAAGTACTTTATTTTCTTTTCTTGGCTGTGGTCATTTTTGGTGTAGAACTTGTATATTCTGAAGCTATCCTGTTCCATCCCAAGGACCATATTATATGTGGAGTAGAGCAGAGCTGAGAGAACTGTAGGGGAGCCCAGCCAGAACCATTGGATTAATACCTCCCTGAAGCCCACCTTATCTCTGAATTAGCAGCTATGCAAGCCAACATTGTCCTTAATATTTAAGCCATTTTGAGTTTTCTATTACATGTGACTGAGAGCATGCTAAAAGATACAGAAATATTCTGAATTTATGCACACAAGTATGTTAATGAAGTCATTGCCATCTAAAATACGTATTAAGAGTTTGGGGCGTCTTTGAATGAATCACTTAGAATTAGGATCAAGTTTCTGACATTTACATTTGTTGTTACTGTATTTTAATCCTAAATAGGGGGGATGATAAAATCAAAAGGAGACAAGGAAAAAACAAAGTATTTATTGTTAACTATGACTATTTCATCAAATATGATCATAATTTAGTTTTTGGCATACATTCAAGGGAATGGATCTAACCATAAATAAAAAGGAATCCTCTAACCTCTATGAATCAATGTAAGACTATATAATTTTTAAAAATCTTATAAATTCATGTTGATTAAAGTTTGAAAGCTAAAATGCCCTAGAACATTGATTTCCATTCCTTTTGAATAATGTCAAATATTTTCACAAAGCAATGCCTTACTACCTCATCTAAAATTATAATGCTATTTTAGCTATTTGTTGAGCAAGAAAATTCATAATGGAATTCAGTACAGCTTTTTAGTAAATATTTAAATTTATTTCTTATTACAGCAAAAACCTAGAGATTAAAAAATGGAGTCACATGGCTAAGCAAGATGTATTATTTATTCAGTCCAAAGAAATGCTATGTTACATCTGGATTCAAGGGACTTTGCAGTAATTCCAAGAGGTAGAATGTAAGTCCCTGGGGGAAAGAGTCTCCATGTGTGTTCAGTGTTTTGTGTGTGATGAAACCTATATGTGTTTTCATTTTCTTTCCTCTAAGAAACTTTTATATACATATTAACAGTTGCAGAGCGTTAATGGGAGAAGAGAAATGAGCATAAAGTAAAATGCTAGTAGCAATGATTAATGCAACACTTATTGTGGCCAAGAATTTTACATTTGTTATCTCATTTAAGTTTCATGAAAATCTCCATTTACAGAGAAGAAAACTGAGACTGAAACTACCTTGCTCAAGCTCATCGAGCTAGTAAGTGGAGGAATTAGGGATGTGAAACAAGGTCTGGATGCCTCTGGGGCCCATGCCCTAAACTATGATGTCATATCACCTTAGAATACTAAATCAGGCTGGGAGTGCTCAGAAGAATTCAGAGCTTCTGAATTTCAGACTGGTCCACACTTGACTCATCTGGCTATTTAAAGTGAATGTAGCTTCAGAATTAGGGAACTTGATATCGTGAACCCCCTGCAAATCCGCAGCAGAGCAGAGATGCCTAGATTCTTAATCCAACTCTGTCATTTACTGACAATGTAAATGACAGGGTTTGGCTGTGTCCCCACCCAAATCTCATCTTGAATTCCCATATGTTGTGAAAGGAACCTGGTTGGAGGTAATTGAGTCATGGGGGCAGGTCTTTCCCATGCTATTCTTGTGATAGTGAGTAAGGCTCACGAGATCTGATGGTTACTGTAAGGGGGAGTTTTCCTGCACAAGCTCTCTTCTCTTGTCTGCCACCATATGAGATGTGCCTTTAACCTTCTTCCATGATTGTGAGGCCTCCCCAGCCACGAGGAACTGTAAGTCCAATAAACTCCTTTCTTTTGTAAATTGCCCAGTCTTGGGTATGTCTTTATGAGCAGTGTGAAAATGGACTAATACAGTAACCTTGTATATCTTATTAACCTTCTCCAAGCCCCTATTTCTATTTCATTAGCATTGGAAGAATAAAATCTTCACTGTTTATGTAATTGGTTTTGAGAAGTAAGCCAAACTGCATATACTATAAAGTACAAAACAATAGTATATATTGTGATTATTTTGTGATTTTCTCAAGTATTCTGCTTTTCCATGGAAATAATAAATTGTAATAATGATGGACATCTATTATTGTTGCTGTTATTATTGCTAATCCTACATAAAGTAACAGGATTGACTATATATTAATTACGGAGGGAATAAGAAAAAGGAAAAAATGTTCCAGGGTTCATGGTCATTTTGGGAAACTTGATAATTTAGTACTGGAATAAGACTTTAGGACTGATCTTGGCAGGATAGCCAAAGGGCTCTGCCACCATGAAACTTAGAAAACTCCATTTTGGCCGGGCATGGTGGCTCACGGCTATAATCCCAGCACTTTGGGAGGCCAAGGCAGGCAGGTCACCAGGTCAGGAGATTGAGACCATCCTGGCCAACATGGTGAAACCCTGTCTCTACTAAAAATACAAAAATTAGCTGGGCATGGTAGCACTTGTCTGTAATCCCAGCTACTCAGGAGGCTGAGGCAAGAGAATTGCTTGAACCAGGGAATCGGAGGTTACAGTGAGCTGAGATTGTGCCATTCCACTCCAGCTTGGCGACAGAGTGAGACTCCATATCAAAAAAATAAATAAATAAAAGAAAAAAGAAAGAAAGAATGCTCCATTTTAAGAAAGAGAAACATTCCACTTCAATTTTCTCATTTGTAAGATTTAAGAGTATATTTTAAATGATGTCTTTGCATCTCCCCTCAAAAAAAGGAAATAAATCTTATTAATGCTGAATATGCATTAGACAATTTTATTCTTTTTCTGTTCTTGAATGAATAAAGGACCTATTTTTATAACCATAGAATTGCTTGGAATGGAATGATTATGGAGAAGGTTACATGTAAAACAAATGAAAAAGTAGAAAATGAAATTATTTACAAAGTCAATTAGAAAAATTCATTAATAAAAATATTCCATCAAAGTCATGAGGTCCAGATCTATGGGATTCTTTACCACATTGATATTCCAAGTGCAATGTTAATATCTTTGTCTTTAAGTTCTGATGTTTCACATAGGTGTATTTTTCTAGGATTGAGTGCAGTTAAACTCTAGGTCCCAAAAACCAGCTATACAGGGACATAGCTTGTTGGATTTTCAGTAACTTGTAGAAAAATAGCATGAAATAATTTTTAAAAAAATGCCCAGATCTAAGGTACAGAAGTTCTAGGTTCTAGTACATGTTAGCACTATAAAAGTAAGTATAACATACCATGTTTATCAATTTCAATATTATCATCTGCTTAACAGGAATAACAATATATGCTTGGTTTTCTTTGAGTTTACTGTAAAGGTAAAACAGAAAGGGCTCCATAGTGCTTGGTAAATTTTAAACAACTTATAATTGTACTAATCCCCTTCCCCAAAGTGTCTGCATATATCTTCAATTTTTCGTTTTCATAATGTAAATCACTGAAGTTTTCAAAAAACAAAAACTCGACTTGTTCTTTTATGATGGCACTCTGAATGGGATGTGTACTGACAATGAGATTGCTGAATCAAATGGTTATTTGCTCTTAGTTTTTTTCTTTCAGGAACCCATCTACCATAAATTACTTGGAAAACCAGCTTTTAAAGCTTTTTAAATGCACCCTTAATATCGTTTGGTTGTTGCTACTTAGAGGAAACCCTTCAGAGAATCCTTTAAAGTGGATTATAATAATGCTAAACATATTTTAAAAATCATATTAATTCTAATATTCTTTATGTATATTTAGGGATGGCCTGCATACTTTAAAAAAGGACCCATAACTATTTTAAGAGTGAAAATATTTCTATTATTTCTTCAAAACAAAACACAAATTAAATTAGTAAACCTTTTCCCTTTCACCATACTGGCAGGCTAATCATGTGAACTGAAATACGGATGATAAAGCATATCTGGTTCTCATTTCTGAACTCAACACCAGATGTTGTTTTCAAGGTTTGTCTTTTTTTTTTTTTTTCAACTTTCATGAAGCCATTTCAGTCCAAGGGAGATGGGGGAACTCCTTGCAGACCAAAATTTTTAATTTTATATTTTGCTATTAAGCCATGCTTATGGTGAACATCTCCAGTGAATGATCCATAATAACAAAAGAGATCCTTTATATATGTGTGTGTGTGTATATATATATATATATATGCGTGTGTTTATATGTATATATGTGTGTGTGTGTGTATATGTATACATATATATATATATATATATCTCGTATATTGTCCAATCCTTTTAACCTAGAATATGGGATAAAAATCTGCTCCCAGTAGAAATGCCATGTTCCTTAAGAAGTCCCTCACACTCTGCAGTGGGAGACGGAGGAACTTGGGAAGAACTTGGCATCACAGGAGACTTGTGAGACTTTGTTTTTGCAGTCAGTATTTGCTCTGAAAGCTTGTGCTGGGGACAAAAGTGAGTCATATGTTATGGGGAAGCTCAGCCATTCATGAAACAAAAAAAACTTACCTTAAAAAATCATATCCAAGTTGTTGTTCAAAGGTCTTTTTTAGGCTTTTTGTAATTGGAAGAAAATATAATTTCTGACAACTTTTCTCTGTTTTTGAGATGGAGTCTCACTCTGTCATCCAGGCCGGAGTGCAGTGGCAAGATCTAGGTTCACTGCAGCCTCCAACTCCCAAGTTCAAGGGATTCTCCTGCCTCAGCCTCCCAAGTAGCTGGGACTACAGGCACCCGCCACCACATCCAACTAATTTTTTGTGTTTTTAGTAGAGACTGTTTCTGCCATGATGTCCAGGCTGGTCTCGAACTCCTGACCTCAAGTGATCCACCCGCCTTGGTCTCCCAGAGTGCTGGGATTACAGGCGTGAGCCACTGTGCCAGGCCTCAATTTCTGACAACTTTAAGGAAGCCGTTAGCCCAAACAGAATTACCAAATGTTAAAATACCTGAAATTATATTCCCAAAGCAATGGGACAAACCCATGATGTTACTCTTTGTTTAAAATAAGTTTTATAGATATGTACATTTAGCTATTTATTAATATGGCATTTAGCAAATCTATCTTATTTTAATTTAAAAAAGGGAGTTGAGAGTTGTGAATTGGGCTGTATATAAACTAAAAGAGGATCTACTAACTTATTAATTCAACAAACATGTATTGAGGATTTAATGCCTACCAGGCACTTGATAATGAAGACATAAGATGTATATGTAAAACTCAGAATCTATAAAGAGAATCAAGCATGAGGAAACAGCAATAGTATATCATAAAAACTCTAATAGAGTATTGGACAGCCCTGTGTTCATTCTGCATTCATGTGTATGCATATGTGTATATATGCACACAGTGTGCATTGCTCATCTAATATATGCTGAGCTTCGGAGATACATATGGTGGTGAAAAGTGAGCACCACACACACCTTTCCTCTCATACTTGCATTTCCAGTTATTCACTGGTCACCCTCACTCAGATTTCTTCCTGTACATCAAAAACAACTTTGGTAAAGTTGAGCTGATTATTTCTACCCTGAAGTCAGCTTTTTCTCCTGGCATCCTTACATATGTTAATGGCACTCTCATTCCTTCAGCTCCTGAGACCTCAAGCACCAAATGTCAACTCTTTCTTTTCCTTTGCCTCTTACAATGGTTCTGTTAATTTTACTTTCCAAATACCTTGCCATTTTCTCTTTTCTATTCTCAGTCTCCCGTTTTATTACAGTTCCTCAGTACCTTTCACCAGGCATAGTTCAAAGTCTCCTATCTGATTTCACTTGTATTTTTTTTCTTTCACTTAAATGGATAAATTGTTAGAATATTCTTCCTAAAAATACTAATCACATCGGCCCCTTGTTCAGCAGCCCTCGATGGCTCCCAAGTCCCTGTCTAATTAAGTAAAATCTCCCTAGCCTTTCATTTATGCCTACCATAATAGCCCCTGACCACACTAACCAATGAATATAAATTATATTTATGTCCAAATTATAATGGTGCTGAGCTACCCCCTGCAGAGAATATCCCTTAAACTTCTGGTTCTGATTATCTAACTTTGTGTGGATCTTTTTTTTAAAGGAAAGTTGTTTTCAACTTGTGTATTGGGTTTTTCTGAAGATTGTTGCATTCCAATAACGGTGGCACAGGCCTTTTTCTGCCTCTCTGATTATGTACTTTTTAAAATCTATTTTTCATTCTTGATTGTGAGAGCCAAAAGAATGGAACTGACAAGGCAGGGCTCTCCTAGGCAAGTAGAGAAAAGGAAGAAATGGTATAGAAAAGTCCTATTCCTCTTGAGTAGATGTGCAGATGGGGAAGACGGCAACAGTCATACATTAATAATTTTGGTCTCCATCACTCCCATTTGCCAGCTGTAGTCAACACTTGGCATCATCCAACTTATTCCTTTCTGGCTTTCACTTGTCAACGCCCAATGCATGAAAAACTCACTGAAGACGCCTGACCACTGTTCCATCATGAGAACATCAACACTAGTGCCAAAAACTGGCTCCTAATGCTGACTCCGTACATCACCCTCCAGATGACTGAGACCGTAGGCTCCTTCCCAAACACACCCTGTTTTCTTGTCTCCATGTCTTCTGTCTTTTGGAAATGACATCTTCCCATTTCTGCTGTCACAGTCCTGTCATTCAAGTTCCATATATCATTCTAGCTACTCTCTGATGCTTTTCCCAATTTCTGTAATAGCAGGATGATCACAGTCTTTGCCTAAGAAGCATCCCTGATTACCTTGAATAACATGCATAATTCAAACTAATTTCCCATGAATCAAAAAGGATGGCAAGTACTTAGTATTTATCAGCTAAAGTGGGACTGCTGCATAGTAACAGCACAAAGAGAATTTATAATTCACTTTATCTTCATGCTTTGAAAATATATAATTCCTGACAAATTTTAAACATTATTTGAAACCTATTCCAGCTGCATTAAAGGACACCTGGTGGAATACCTCTATTTGTTCATAACCAACTCAGTATGATCTAACTGGAGAATATTCAGAATTATAGGCATAAGTAGTTAAGTCTTTATGATATAAAAATATTCACTAAGAAAGGTTAGTATAAAAATTTTCATCTAGGGCACATAGCAGTGGTATTATTCTTCAGCAAATATTTTTCCATATATGAGATGATTGTGCTTAGAATCTCACTGGGTTGTGCTTGGAAAGATCTGGAAAAACCCTATGAAGCTCATACTCCTTTGTGGCTTTTTTCCCTGTGAAGTATTAGTAAAACAGCTCCTAAAATTTGAAATTTCCTTCCCTTTTTTCTACTTCTTGCACCTCCCTGCTAAAGCCCTGGGTCCAACCTGCTCTCCTTGTCACCATTTTAATAAGTCAGTGAATAAGTAAACGAATATGTTAATTAATCCACACAAACTACAGTAGATCAGGATCCTGTAACTTTATTGAAGATATTTGGGAAATGTTGTCTTTCTGTAGAGTTTCACCCATCTTACTCCGTGTCTCATTTTCCACTCTTTTCCATACCTTTCTGATATAACCAGGAAATTCTTCCACTTTGTTTTGTAGAACACTATGAAGAATATCTTATTTGCACCTTCAACCAGCCCCAAATGTTCATGAATTTTTTTCTAAAGAATTTCTGAAAATTCTTTAGAATGAAAAAAGAATCCTCTGAAAAGAATTCTGGTGAAAATACTTAAAAACGTTTTTTAATGGTAAGGTAGATTACCAAACAGGACTTAGGTCCCATTGATGGAATTAATATATTTTATGTGTGGTGATGTGAAGACATAATTTTTACTTCTGAAGCTTATAGCAGGAAGATCGTATCTCTTGGGCTTGATTGTGTGATAACTAATCCAGTACCATAAAATGAAGGCTTGGTTTTTACTTTGTAATAAAATGTAATGCTACTGAGGGAGATGAATAATTATTCAGATATCAGATATTTATAGCAGTTATTTTTGAGAATGTGGTCTTTACTCCATTACAATGACTAGGCCAGTCTGTTCGTTAAGATGCAGTTAAAACATGAAGGCAATATATGTTAAGAATTTTCAGAAGAGCGAGCTAATAGGTCAAGGTACATAGTTACCTTCCTAGATTAATATCAAACTTATATTTATCACTAGTTTCCTTAATAAAGCTGTAGTTAAATATTCATATGGGCCTGTTCTACCCTGAAAGGAAAGGCTGAAAGTGTTAGGTGATTGATGTGCCAGAAGATTTCAGTCTCCCATGTATACTACCAACCCCCTGGGGAAAAGAATGGCTCTAAAATGATATCCAATTGCTGTATAATGGGTGAGGTTTTCTAATTAAATTTCAGAATTTGAAAAAAAATCTTTGTGAGTCTTTTCCTATACAATTCTTCCTTTTTCTTGCTTTATTTAAAAACAATGTGTTTAAATAAAGCAAGAAAAAGGAAGAATTGTACAGGAAAAGACTAAAAAAGAGGCCATGTACGTGTTAAGAAATTTAAATGTTTTGTCTTTGTTTAATGTATATTTTCATTCAAGCATTTACAAAAAAGAACATTAAAGCTTACTACTGGTGCCACAGAAAGAAGACAATGTATTAAACATGAAGACATGAAATAAATAAAACAATGACTGTTTTTTTACTTTGAACAAAGAACTCAGTCTTTGCCATGGGGAAGGTAAGTAGCAGACAAAGCTAAGAAAACAGAAAGTCAGCCACATTCTATGAGGAAATCAGGAGAACATGGAGAGCAACCTTCTTTATGTACTGGCTTCAATTCCACTCCATCCATTTTATATTTTCACAGTCTTTGAGTCTGATTTTGTGGCAAGAGTAAGTGCACAAATACAAAAATAACCCATCTGATATAAAGAATAAGAAGCCTTTTGACTGCTTTTGTAGTGATTATTTTTGGAGTGGTTATTGACCCAAATCCTATCTGCCAACTGAGGCTACCCTAGTTGATGTCTTCAAACACCCAGCCCTTCTATGGCAGTATTGTACCTGAGGCTTTTTGAGTACCTGTGGGAATGGTCAGGTTGCTGGCATTTATCAAGAAATATTTTTTAGTTCGCACATTTGTTTTGAATTGCAAAAATCTCAGTGTGGGGTGTAGCTGTGAGCTCATGGGCCAACTATAGGTACACATTTGTGTTCACATAGGCATAGATGTTTACATGCAGATGGATTTGATTTTAATAGTGATCCATGTCATTTCTTACATTTAGAATAAATGGAATTCACCTAGAGCAGTTTATTATCTACACACTGTGCCACATTTGTAAGGCACATTGTAATAATCGTAATTATTGATCTGTGTGAGAACAGCAAAGCAAGTTTGTAAGACTATAGGGCACATAGGATTAAGCATCTCAGAAATGCACATATTTGTTAGGATTGCTTTTGGTTGTAACAGAAAACACAATAAGCAATGTCTAAAACCAGTAGGGAGTTTACTTTTCTTATGCAACAATCTGGAAAAAGGCTGGGAGCAAATGTCATCAAGGAAGCCTTATTTTCTTACTCTTCTATCCCCGCTGAGAGGTTTTCCTAATCATGGTCACAAGATTATGCTGCCAAAGTGGCGTTGCATCTGAATTCCTGGCAGGAATCATCAGGAAGGAGAAAAGGAAGATTTCTTCTTTTATGTGAAGGCAAGTCTTCACTAGAATTCTGCCTATAGCTTGTTGGAGAGAACTGACCACAAGATCACAAGCCCATTCTTAGCTTCAATGCAAGATGCTTTTCAGATCTGAAGACAAAGCAAGCAGGAGGAAAGGGAGTTGTAATAGGTACCAAAGAGGTTAATATACAGACTATGTCACATGCACAACATGGAAGGCTCTGATTTAGAGGAGTCTGTGGATATGCACCCATAGTTCTATTGATGCTTTAGGCTAAAATCTCAAGCTGTGCTTTGCTGTGTAACTTCTCTTTTTTCTCTGGAGAAATTTGGGTTTTGTAGCCACTTTAAAAAATTTTTTTAATTTTTTTAAGCCACAGGCCCTCGTACTTTCCTTTCTCAGCAAAATACATTCAGAGAAACTCAGAACAGGAATGTTATTTAGTTGACAGTCATTTAGCTCCCCCTTGTCATTTAATAGTGGGAAAGGTAAAAGATTTTTTTGGGGGGGATGGACACCAATCCATGGAGGACACTTGATATTTTTCATTCCAGCCATTTATTTGTTCTGTTCTGATGTCTTCTTTCCTGAAATCTAACTCCATACCCCATTTCTGCAGGAAACTAATCTTACCAAATCTAGCTATCACCCCACTAAGGGCAAAATCTTCCATCTTCCAAGGTGACAGTTAATAAATGCGGCAGGATCCCACTCATCGCAAATTTGCCTGACCCCAGGTTTTGCCCTTATTTAAACAACAGTTTTAGATTTCTGGTAAACATTTCTTCACAACTATCCCAGTTTTTGATGGGGTCTGGGTGGACCCATTAACTTCAAAATTGAAAATTTCCTTCCTGTCAAGGTAAGAGAAATATTTTGGAGTGGCTGTGCTTTATGGCATATTTCAAGTGATTCTGTAAAGGTCTAAAGATATTCTGAAATAATTATTAAATATGTATGTCAATGACTTTTGTTAGAGGGCAAGCACAGGTACTTGTCAGTCTAAAGTTATGTTTTATAAGGTGCAGCATGGAAGCAGCAAAAAATCTGGGGTCAAACAGACCAGAGTTGCAACCCTGGCTTTGCCGCTTTGGGTGTTATTGAACCACTCTGTCCTGAAATTTCCTCTACGTTAGAGAATTGCTTGGAGATTTAAGGATAATACACAAAAAGTTTCTAGCAAAAGGTGCTTGGCACATAGTAGATATGATTGTTTTTATAGGTTCAAAGATTGCATCTCCTAAGCCACACTTAGGAGCAATTGATTAATACCACGTTACAGAAAAAAAAACAAAAACAATTAGAACTCATAATAAAGAGTTCTGCTATAGTTTCCCAGCCTGCATTTTTTAATGAGCTACTTTGTAGCTTGTGATCCAATGGCTGTTAGAATTCCTTTCTTAATAGTGTTTTACCTTAGGAAAAACTAGAGAAGTATCTACAACCAGTGCCCTTTTTCCTCCTAGGATACTAGAAAAGTTATATTGTCAACATTTGCTAACATTTTGAAGATTCTGAAAAGAAAAATGCTAAATCTTAACTATGTATAGTTACAAAATAGAATTCTTCTTGATGGAAAAGTTTAAAAAAATGAATTAGAAGGGGGAGGAAATTAACAGCAGAAAGGAAACTTTATATTTTGGCAAGCTCTGAAACATGCAAACATTATTCTTTCATGGTTTTCCATGAATTTGAATCTCTTGACAGTTTCTCAATTATAGCTTGTAGCTGTGGGCTTCAAAGCAATTCTGCAGTTCAGTTCACCTGTCAGTCAGTCAATAATGTTTATTGAATTCCCATGGAGGGAAGAATACTGAGTGAGGGGCCCATTTTCGTTTTCCACAGCACGAGCGCCTTGATCCCGAGAGTCTGTTATTCGGTCAGTCAGACCTGCTAATGGTCTCTCACTTTGAATCATCTGCAGCAGTGTTTGCCCCCAGTTCCTCTGAGGCTTGAGCCGACCTCCTCCCATCTGCCACCTGACATTGTGCCTCTTCCTGCCTGTACCAGATGAAAACCCTTTAGGCCGGAAGCTTTTCCAGATTAATACCAGACCCTTAATCTCATACCACCTCCACCTCCTTCCTACCCAGCGCTGCTGCCCAGCTTTACTTTATAAATATGTGTATTGTTCGGGCTGAACTGAACCAAACTGTAATCTCCCCAGGTCTAAGGCTTAGGCTCAATTATAGAATCATATGGTATCCAAGTTCAAAGGCATTTTTAAGGTTTAGCCCAATCACTGTATTTTGTTAGATTAAAGTAAATCAAAACTAAAACTCAGAAAAGGAAAATTATTTGTCATAGTATCGTGAAAAGTAGTAGCCTTTGGAGTCAGAAAAATAAAACCCAGAGCTAGTTCCTGGCTCAGCAAATTGCTGTTTGGACTTGAACAGGTCATTGAAACTCTTTGTGCCTTACTCTGTTTTAATCTGCAAAATGGGGCTCAGTAATTATTGTAGGGTTTCTGACATTTTTAGTAATGAATGTAAAATGCTCGGCAAATTTGAGTTGTTCGATAAATAGTGACAGTTCTTGAGAGTTCCAAGGTCACAGCTGATAAATACAGGCCAGGACTGGAACCTGGAACCTTTGAGTCCAAGTTTAGTGCTTATTCTTTTCACCTGGCTTAACCAATGCTTGTTTAAACTGTTCTACAATTCCTAGGACATCCAAAGGAGTACCACCTGCCTGAGGGCATTCAATAAACATCCCTTGGTGCTGGTTATTTCCCAGACAGATTAGAATTCCTTTGAGACAGGCAGGTAGGAGGGATTTTGTTATTGTTTCTTGCCTTGGGGAAAGAGTCCATCAGTAAAGTAGCAATAAAAACTCTCCCTCTATTAAGTGGAAATGATTAACACTCCTTTAGTTAGGTAATAATTTCCCACCCATTTCTGCATCTGGCCTCACACGAACCAAGCCACACAGATGGGGGACCAGAAACCTAAGGAAACAGCAACAAATTGGTGTGGTGAGTGGATGTGGTTGGAATCTTTCATCTGGTTTGTCTCAACTGGTTGTGGAAGTTATATGGGTTTTGAATAAAGTTAAAAATCCAAGCAAAATGTTATGAATATTAAGCCACAGTTATCAAAGCTTGGAGAATCTGATGAAAAATGAACCAATGTAAACCCAAACATAAGGACATTACACACCTCCTTTCCTGAAAGCCGAATGCTGGCAGGAAGAAACACTTAACTTGTTGTAGGAAAGGGAAATGCAGCCTTTCTAATTAATTATCACCTCAGTATTTATTTTTTCAATGAGTCAGTGGGCTGGAATGATGAAAGCATATGTGGCTTAGAAACTCAGGCAGGAAGGAGTGAACTGGGACTAAAAGCTGATGCTAAATGTGCCCACATTGGCTGTCCCTGTGGAATCCAAAATAAAAAATAAAAAAGAGTTTTCCAAAGCGTAAGTACTTACACAGGCTGCTAAATTGGCCCTCCACATATTTGTGGTGATTGCTTGAAAATGGTAGTTCCAGATGGAAAGTGGGGGAAAATAAATCAATATAGAAAACGATGCACATCGTCTGTTTCCTGTGTAGAGAATCTTAATAATATTGGCATTGATATGCCATGGAGTCTTGTTTTAACTCCCAGAAGTAAAACGTTTTCCATCAGCACAAATACGTGAGACAGAGCATGTAACCTCAGTCAGACCAGTGGGTGAAACTCTGCTAGCAGGTGAGATTGAGCAGAATGGAGAAGAGTCTATTTTAAGTTCCAGAATGACAGGTAAAAACTTTTTTTTCTTACCTGGTAGCAGTTCTTCGGCCATCTTCAAAGAGTCTAGTCCTATGGAATCTTTTAGATTGAATAAATCAACAGGGTTTTTTGATTCGGTGTTTTAACAAAGAAGTGATGGAACTCTTAAAACTCACTAGGGACACTGTTTGGAAGTTGTTTTGTCATAGACCATTTTTCAAAAGCTTCTATGTGGCTATAAAACTGTGGTTTCTCAGAGCCTTAACAAAATCTGAAGTTGTTTCTGAAATTTAGAAAAGGAAGATGCAAACTAATATTTTTAGCTGTCAGGTATAATTATAATGTTTATTACTTCATAGTACAAGATGTATTCATATATAAAAGAACATTTTAAAATATATTTGCTTTACAAAAGCAGCCAATACCTGAGACCCTGGAAATTTTAATCTTATTCCAAAAATCACGTCCTGTCACAACAATACAAAATTTGAAAAATGCACCAGATCATCAGTTACAAATGTTGCAAATCAACAAAATCAATGATTCTAACAGTTTAATTTAGTAGAAAAGAAACCGGACTATGTTTATTAGCTATATAAATTTGTTAAATCTGAGTTTGGTTTTAAAATAAGGGTAATAACATATCTAACAAGGCAACAATATATAAATTATATATTTGAAATTATATAATAATTGGCACTCAATAAATGATAGTTAATCCAAAGAAAAAAATATTTGCTTTAATTGCAAACACCTGTGAACAAACCATAACCTGGATGACTGAAAGCTTTTATAGTTCAACAGTGTAAATATTCATGAAAAAAAGAGAAGTTAGGCCATTAAAAAGTCTCTAGTTAAACAAAAACATTATGCTGAACTAGTAATGAATAATCTCGAATCATTCAAAGTAATACATAATAGCAGATTTGAACTTCAAATTTTAGTTAAGAGCAAGGAGTCAATTGAGAGAAGAGCTACTTATGGATTCTTGAGAGGAAAAGGGCCTTGGAGAAATACGACATGCATAACAGCAGCCCCTTGATAACTGTCTTTTCCTTGCCTGTCATGAAACAGCGAGAATACAGGCAGGGAATTCTCTTTGGAAAAGTAAGTTTTAAGGATTTTGATTTCTTGGGTTGAACAGGCAGCAACAACAGGTAAAGTGCTTGCCAAAGCAATTAAAATACATGGATGATTAAAGGCTGTTGGTGGCTGAATCAATGTCTCTCATCCTAAACATGGCAGTAATAAAGTGACAACAAACTGCCAAACCCTGGATAGAGTTGACATCCAATTTTTTTTAAATAGAAAAATGGGTACAGTGCAAGTTGAAAATGATTTTTATTTATACCAGGTTGCAAATATCTAAATGGAAATTGGCAGCATTAGATAAATAATAATCATTGTCACTAAGGCACTACTGCAAGTACACTAGAAAATGGAGAACTGTGTAAAGACTGGAATAATCCAACTACTCTAACAAATTACTTAGCTAGGAAGTTCTGGACTTAAACTGGCGGGTGCTTATATGGTTTTCTATTATATATGATTTTAAATAGCATTTAAACTCTGCTTTTAAAATGGATTAACATTTCTAGGCCTTCATTTCAAGGTGATGAACTGAGAACAGGTTTTGGTCTCCTACTTTGTATCATTCAGGGATCATCAAGAAAACAAATCATTCTGCCTTTTTAATAAAAGGAATTTAATACAGGACATCGGTTACCACATGATGGAAATGCAAAGAAGGAAAACAGGAGAAAGAGAAATAAAAGATATAAAACAGCAGAGAGCCACTATTTCTACACTCTGGTGATAGAACTCAGGAGGTAGAGCCATCCAGCTATGGTCCCAACCCTCGCCTGGGACCCTAAAAGGAGGCAGTGAGTGGGTGCTGATGTCACAGAGGAAACAAAGCCGTTGCTCAAAATGCCAAAAGAAGCAGAGAGGAGGGAGGGAAATAATCTGGCTTTTCCCCTTCTCCAATCTTGTAATCTTTGCCAGTGCCTGTTATTTGCAAAGTGGCCCAGAAGTAGACAGGGAACCCAGAAACCGAAGTTCCCTGAAATATGAAGCAGAGAGGTGATAAAAGATCAAATTGACAGTCAATCCTTCATTATCTCTAAAAATACACGTACAACATGCCTACATATGTCACTGCTCTTGAAAATAAGACATCAAACTCAGAAGACCAAAATTTGTGATGAATTCATGAACACTGGAAAGCAGACGGGATGAAACGGAACAGAGAAATTGTAGGTAAGAATGTGTGAAAGGAAACACTAATGGTGGGCCGCAGACAGAGGCAGTGGAAGCCCAGCATAGTTGGGGCCTAGGCATTGGATAAGATCATTATTTGGAGGTCATTAGTAAGGAGCAGAAATACATACTGTGCGCTGTTCATGTTTCTACTTTGGACCACAAAACCTAGGCAGGAAGTCTGCCACCAATTAGGAACAATGAAAAGGGGTACCCTGGTTGAAGAGAAAGGGCAGTGCTCCTGATGGTTGATGTTGCTTAGATGAAGGGGGAACACCCATGATCGTGAAAACAGTGACTGCCCAGTGACATATCTTGCCCCTCCCCCTTTCTCACTAAAAACAGCATGGCATTTCTTCGGAAGCTACAGAAGCAGCTCCTACTTTCTCCCAAATAAACTATACAAATGGATGCTTCCAGCAATCTAATAAGGACTGTCAGTGGTACACATGAATGCACAATCCAAAACTGTAATATATTTAAGGAATGCCTACAGCATAAATGGAGGCGGTATACACAATATCAAAGTAAACAAAGTTAGCAAAGCAACCAGAATAGAATTTAAAATATATAAAATTAAGATTATAAATAAAAAGGATATTGTGTTCATGAAATCAGTATGAGTAGTTATGAAACGAAAAGGACAGATAAATCCAAATGTATCATTATTCACACTGAATATCAAGGACGGAGAATGGAAAAGTCTAGCTTCAAGTTTTATCCATTTTTTCCAATAAGTACTGTATTGTTAAAAGTAAAAACTTTCAGTTTAAATCTTGGCTTTTAAAAATGAGACAAACTAGAAGCAAGTACCATAAGAGGAAATTCAACTCCTACATTTTTGGTACAAGAAATGATAATATGATGCCTATTAAAATTAAATCCTCCCTCCTAGATACACAGCAACTATCCAATGTCACCCTTATGAAAAATCACTTTTTAAAAGCATGGTTTGCCCTCAGTGCTTTGCTTCTCAGTGACCTCTCAGAGATGTGTGTGTGGAAGGTGGAGGAAGGTGAAGGTGTGCATCGAAGTCAGACCTGTAGATGAAGGGCCCCATCCTGCCATCGGTTTTATGCAAAGCTCCTCCCTAAGACATCATGGGAACTCAGAGCTCAGCAGGATGAATATCTAGCTATCAGGAAAGCCTTAGATGTTGATGCTTATAAGACCCACAGAGATGTCTTGCTAGAATCATTAATACGGGTTTTCCCTTTTCCTCATATCCTGGAGGTTGATCTCCCTCTTTTACTCACTTTCAACCAGGCAGGCACCACTATAACTTCAATTACTACAGTAGAACTTACTGTACACCATCAATTTTAAAATGCATGTTTTTATCAACTTTAAATCACAAAGCAACTTAGAATTAATGGCATGTCAGCTCAACTACCAACGTTCTTCTTTTCTTAGCGGTGCACAAATAATGGTTCGTCTTACAATTAATGGTATCTTAGAGTCAATGAAATTTGGAATTTGTTTACATGTTTATTTTTACCAATGAAGAAGATGTGACTGTCTTGATAATATTCCACTTATCCATTGTCCACTGAATGAGTATATTTGGGTATGATTGTATGATGGAATTTTCTTTTTTAACAGTAAAATGTTTCCAGATGCATATTTCATAAAATGCTAGAGCACTATGCTTCTTAACTAGACCAACTAGCAGAATTACCAGAGGACTTTTTAAACAATACACCTATCTGAGCTCTCCCTCTGAGGTTCTGATTTGGGATGCAGTTGAAAATCTGCACTTTAAAAAAGCTTCAGGACTGATTCTGATGATCAGAGAGCTTTTAATAAAACCATGCTGCAAATGAGGAGAACAAAAGAAGAATGTCTATCTGCTCCATAGGAACCACATGAAAAAATATTTTAGTATTTAATTATCACTATCTTAAAGCAGGTAAAGAAAAGTCTACCAAAAATGGTGTTATTTTACATCTAAATTTCTGTTGTCTTATAAAAGCAAATATATTGCATCTGCAACATAGTTTCCTAGCATCAAGTCAACTTTATGATCCAAAATTATTTAAAAGTTAATTTTCAGTGAGCGTCAAAATTTAAATAGAATTTTATCCACAGAAAAATTATATTAATTTGCATTGAGAGTTGAAAATCAATTCAGTTCAATTTAGTGCCCCTTTTAAGTTGCCTCCATGGTTTATGGCATACTGATTGTACCAGACATTATGATATTGGACTCATTTCCTGAAATACAAGGTTTTATTTATTTAATTTTGGTAGGCTTCATTGAATATGAGGAGGCATGATTTAATGGAAAGAGCCAGGAATCACAGGACACCTCCCATTAACTGTGTGACCTTAGGCAGGTCACATAATTTCTTTTGGCCCCAATTTTCCCATCTGTAAAATAATTAAGTAGGATTAGATGACCCCTAGGTTTTCTTCCACCATCAGCATTATATGGTTTTTGTGGTCTGAATGGAGACAAAGACATATTATATGTACAGCTTATTGGCAGGAACTAATTAATTTGCAATGTGACTTTAAGAGGCAACTTTGCTACTGGTGACCTTGAACTGTGATAACTCAGTGCACTAATAAATGAGTTTCAGGAAAAGATTTTCAAGTAAACTGAACTTCAAGAAAGAAAAGATTAGGAAATTAGAGAAATTAATTTGAATGAGTTTTTAAAAGTTATTCCTAGGACAGAATTAAACATAGAAGGTATCGTTCAAAAGAAGAAATTTGAAAGAAATTTCTCGATCAAGTGAAAGAGAAAAAAATTTAAATTTAGATATAAAAGTGAGAGTGCATATCAGTTCATCATACTGTTCTGAGCCAGAGAACGGACTTTTTTCCCTTCCACCACCGCATAGATGCCTGAATTACAGTCTAGACCCACCTGAGCCAGTCACTGAAGTCAGATGATCTTTATATCCTGATTGACTTTAATCTAAATTGCTGCTCCTCCCTCAATCAACGGAGATTAGATTAACAGATTAACATCAGTCAGAGTCCATACCTGGAGGCAGGACTCTGCTACACAGCGGGAGAAGGCTGATATTCCCAAAGGTAAACTTGGATGTTCTTAATATGGCGGAAGACATGAATGGATGAGTAGATACTTAATTGGCCACTAACAAACATCTATTTCCAAGTTGAACATGTATTTTTACTTAAACCTTGAAGAAAAATAAGAACTTTACAATCCCAAGATTTTGTCTTGAGGTATAGATCAACAAAAGACACAGAAGTTAAAAATATTAACCAAAAGTAAAGGAAAGATGGTGTGAATAAACTTAATCTAACATGTATGACAACATTAACGGAGAGATTAAGCACTTCAATCAGAACACCCAGGCTGAAATCTCAGTTCGTTATATGTGACCCCTGTTCTCTTATCTATGTTGAAGTCACAGTAATAATATTTGCACCATAAGGGTTTTATTTTGTGAGAATTACATGAAAAAATATATGGAAAATATTTCTCAAAGTTGGCTGTAGATGTTTCTTACATGTTAGCGGTAGCAAGATACTGATGGAACTGATAAAGACACGAAAGGCGGTTACTCTGAAAGAGCTCCAAGTGAAGGTAAGAAAAGAAACTTTCAATAGCAATTATGTCAGTGAAAAATAAAGAAAACTCAATGCTACAAAAACTACATTTTAACAATTATTGTGCCTAAAATCAGAGAACAGTTCCTTGCAAAATGACTTGAGGGTTCATGCCTGGAATATAATGCTTTGTTTAGGGCATGCATACAGTTCAGAAAAAGATACTGCCTAATTGCACATAGGTCAGTAAAGAACAACTGAGCAGAAAACTGAAGGATTGAGTTATGAGGAAAGATTAAAAGAAAAATGAAACACTTAATTGTCAGGGAAAAATTTTTTTTTTTTTTTGAGACGGAGTCTGTCGCCCAGGCTGGAGTGCAGTGACGCAATCTCCGCTCACTGCAAGCTCTGCCCTCCCGGGTTCACACCACTCTCCTGCCTCAGCCTCCCGAGTAGCTGGGACTACAGGGGCCTGCTACCATGCCTGGCTAATTTTTTGTATTTTTAGTAGAGACAGGGTTTCACCGTGTTAGCCAAGATGGTCTCGATCTCCTCACCTCATGATCTGCCTGCCTCGGCCTCCCAAAGTGCTGGGATTACAGGTGTGAGCCATTGCGACAGCCTGTCAGGGAAAACTTTCTGAGAGCTACTAATCTCCCTAAGAAAGTGGTAGAAATTTTAATATTTTGGGACCTTAAAAATAAAATCAGATCTCCAAGTCACCTAGAACCAGTCAGACATAAAATAGGCAAATAATAAATGTGTGTAGGATAAATGAAGTTCTATGAATTATTGTGTGTTAACTAATTTGCAATTGTGGATTATCTGCCAGAGTCTGTTTCAGGAGCTTGGAACATATTAGTGAACAAAAGAGAAACAGCTGCTGCTTTCCTGAAGTTTATATTTTTTATTAGCTTTCTAAGTAAACAATTTTGTAATTTCAGAGTTCTCTTCTCTTGGAAATGCAGATTGTCTGTAAGAATCTCAATTTCCTATAGGCTAGATATTCAAGTTTTTTTTTTAGATGTAATCCCCCGAGTTTAATTAAATAAATACAAATTATATATAAAATATCATTGAAATAGAGATAAAAGTCTGTCAGTTGTCAAGACTTAAATATCCACATTTTGAATTTTAAAACACCTTAATATTTCATTTTAAAATTCTTACAGATTCATTATATCCTTGACATTCATTATTGGTACATTGAAATGTGATATAATTTCATTCTTGGTAGATTCGGTCATAGTAGCATCTATGCTCCAGGTTTCATCTCCCATATAGAACCTTTTTCAAAGTAAGTGCATGCTGTGTGTCTCCTATATGGGTGTATAGAATAAAACCTAACATAATGTCATGAGGTTAAAAACATTATTTCTCCAACATCTGTGACACAATTCCTCAGTAAGAAAACTGTATTTGTTTGGAAAATATATCTTGATAATTTTACTTGGAAGTAAAAACTTCATTCCAAGGGATGTAAGTAAGAATTGCTTGTTATTCCAGAGAGGTCAGAGCAAAGGAAGAAGAGCATGAATAGGGTGGGTCTAGTCAAATGGCAGCATGAGATGTGACCTCTTCCCACGACCTTGTGAAACTTTAGGAAAGTTTGAGAATGTGTGAAATTGTTGGTTTGAATTGATCTTTTGCAGAAATCAGCTAAGAAGCAGAATTTTGGATCTAGATCAGCAGAGGCTGAAACAAGGCAGCAGGCAGCATATACAGGCACAGGGAGAAGATGCAGTGAGTTGTCAGAAATAAGCGGAAAGCGTGGAATTTCCCGGTCATGAAAATGAGGAGTGTATGCCATGTGTACCTAAATCTTGTGTTGGGAGCATGTAGGTAAGGCCAGGGAGATGTGTTGATTGGTTGATGGCTGCAGGTGGAGGTAGGAAGGCATCCAGCTGACAACTGGGTTATGATAAATACAAACAGAACTAGCAATACATCCCTTCTCCACTGCTTGGCAAATCTGTCCCTCAGTAATTCAGCCAATTGCACCTGAAGGTCTTTAAGCTAAGCATTTTGCGTTGGTGTTTGAAATGTGGTGATAGATATACCCTGACCCTTTCCAACTTTCTTGGGGCTTGATAATAGCTGCTGACATTTATTGAGCATTTACTATATGTCAAGTGTGTTAACACTGTATAAGCAATAGCCTTTCAAACCTTTACATCAACCTGTACTGCTTTTATTTTCATTTTAAAGATGAGGACCTGAGACTTACAAATGTTAACTGGCTTTGCCAAGACCACACAACTACAAAGTGATGAAACAGATTTTTTTGTTTGTTTTTGAGGTAGGGATTTGAACTCTTGCAGTCAACTACAAAATATGCATTCTTAGACGCCATGTTTATGACTTGCATATCCTGTTAATGCCCAAAGTTTTGTATTAAAAGATAGAGAACTAGGCATGTTTAGGAATGTATTCAGTTTCCAGATCAGAGAAATGTTACCTCGTTCTAAAGAGCAGTTTCTAATCCATAGCTCACAGGTTCCTAGGGTGTCGTATAATTTTTTCAAAGTTGGCATAAATCCATACATGCTCTAAGTACTTTCTGTAAATAATATGAGTGGTCACATAAATCTTAGTCATCAGACACCAAGCACCCAACAGACCAGGCTGACAGGAAATCCCATTATAGTCACTACCGGGTTTCTTTCCCCACGTTTATGTGAAGGTTCTCGGGCTTTGTACAGCACCACGGCATGAGGAGGCCCCTGTGTTTCCCATTGGTCACCACCGCAAGGCCCAGTCTATGGCCACTTGCTATCCAGTTGCTCTCTGGCTCCTGGGCTTCTGGGATCCCTGTGGTCTCAGGATCTATCAGAATGTGATCTTCAGGCAAAATTCTGCTGTAATCCCTCTAAAAATTCTTAAGACTAGGTGAATTGAATATTTTTGCCTTTGTTGGCCCAGTAACTGTTCTTTATTTTGGCAAAGCACTCAATTTCCTTTGGGAATATACATTCTTCTTATCTTCCCTTTGCTTATAAGGGAGCAATTTTTCTTGTAATAAACCCATGACCTAGTCCTGGCCAATAAGGGCATTTCATTCCTTGGACCCTGGCTAAGAGACGGAGAGGAGACTCAAGCTAGGCCGTTAAGATCCAATCCAGGAATGATGGGGACAGTAGGATAGAGGCTGTCTCTGCTGGCGTCAATAGGCCTAGAGCTGCTGGGAGCCAGGGAGAGAGCCCTCAGGAGAAAGAAACCAGCCCAGAGGGAAGCAGAGCGGAGAGATGGGAAGAGACAGATAACATTTGAGCTTTGGTTCCAGTCATGCTTGGACTTTCCAGGGGAGCCAGTAAATAAGCTTTTGTGGTGATTTTATTTTACATTACAAAGGAGTGTCCTTACTGAAAAATCTTCACTGATAACACTGAGCTCCATGCTTGAATAAAGTTAAGGGAAAAATTTTAAAAGTAACCAAAATATACATTCGATCTCAAAACATTGCTCTTCCACATACATCTTAAACATACGGTAGAAGATTGTTTACTCAGATTATACAGAAATAACTTGTTCCAAATTAATGATATTTCCAGAGTTTAGATAGGTTAATTCAAAAAGGGCATAACGATAAAAGTAACGATTTATTTATCAAATTTTCTGGTTGTTTTCTTATGGGTTTTCTTTCTGTTATATAAATTAAGAAATGAGATGCATAAAAATATGCATTTTAACCATTGCAGCTTAAATCTTTAAAACATTTGTTACTTGCCAAAATATGCAAACAGCAAAACTGATGTGTCAGTGTTTCAATTGTTTGAGACAAATCACCCTGTCAATATTACTTATTTATTCCTGTAATATGTTGTCTTCATTGTATGTCTTATAACAAATTGCCCTTCAATTATTACAGTGATTTTTTTAAAGGGATGGTCATAAAGAAAAATGGGAAGTCTCCATTTTTGATGCTTTCATTGTTTAGACTTCCAGATATATGACCTGTATTTCCAAACTTATGTGGGTGCTGCTCTAATCTATTAAAATAAAACATTTATTTCAAAGACATAGTGAATTTATAATAGCTCACTAACATTATGTATTTCCTTAATCAACAGCTATTACATAGAGTTCTCCTGATGTTTTTTATTTCTTGTAGAAAGGGCTCTTAGTTTTGAGGCGTTGGAAACCACTAATAGAAGGGATTTGGTGCCTTGCACCATAAACCAAAGAGATTCCTAAAACCCACAGGGTTCACCCACCACTAAATCCTTAGCAGTGCTCAGAGCTATGCCTTTGGAGGCACAAATTGTCTCTTATAAATTAAAGCCTTTTGTTCAAGAATTTCACTTCTTATTCTAAATTCCCTTTAAACGTCAAACCTTCAGAAAAAAACAAACAACAACAACAACAAAAATTTCAGTTCCTGTCAGGGAAAACCAACTAACTTCTGTGAACTCATTTAATTTCAGCATCCCACGTGACAGCATGAAACTTGACACATTTAGTAGACCAAACAAAATTAATAAAAAACAAAACCAAAATAAATCCATCCATCTATTCATGCGCTGCCATCACCCCTTTCTTTCCAATTTTCCCACTTAGTGTTTATTCCCTTGCATTCTGGTTGCGTATGTATGAATGTGAGTGGGCTTCCTGGCCATGGGCATCGCACACCATAGTGTCAGAGAAATCCCTATGGGAAGAAGCTAGCATTCCACAGTTGATATTTCAAGATGGGCATGGTCAGCAGGAAGTGGGTCAAAACCTGTACCAAATGCTTATTATGACTTGGTTGGAATCAGAAGCACAGCTGAGAGGCTTGAAGGTGGTGCCCAAAAGGAGTCCAGTGACTCCCACAGATACCTCGATCATAACAGGTCCTAAAAAGAAGCCACTATTTTCTTTCCCAAACCAGTTCCTTCTGCCTTCTCTCTTGCATTAACGACAATGTCACCTAAGCAGTTCCCTAAGCTAAAAAACTAGGGGTCATCTTTATTCCCTTTTCCTCATAGTCCACATCCAAATGATCACACAATTCTGATAATTAATCCCAAAAATGTCTTCAAATCTAGACTCTCCTTTGTCTCCTCAACTCAACCACTTAGACCAGTTGTTAGATTTAAATCTGTAACATTTTCTACATGAATTGTACACACTCCAGAAAGGATATAAAATTCCAGGAAACTGGTATATGAGGGTCAAAGATGTGTTTGAATCTATTTAAAGTACTTTTGCAAAGTTAAGAGACAAGGAAATGGCAAAACCAGGGCTCCAACTGGTGTTGACTGTAGATTTGTCTTCTCTTGCTACCTTCTATTGCCTGTCATTCATTATGTGTATACTAATCATTGAACTAAGAGGAAAGACCTAATATAAAACAAATAATTAGTTTTGAGAATAGTGGATCTATTGGGCCTCATTTATTGATTTATTTATAATTTGTCTCTACCCCACTGAACCGTGGGCTTCTTTCCAAAATTTGAATAGCTAATACCTAACCAAGTACCTTCACTGTGGAGATCCTCAAAAAATATTACTTTGATTGAATTTGGTTAAAAATTGTGTTATATTTCCTCCTAGAGACATTAGTCCTTGTTTGTCTTTATTAACTATTTGTAGCAACTATTAAGTACAAACATTAAACATGACCTCATCTCATGTGTCTAATAGTTGACCTCATATACTCCTAATGTTTCATATACCACGGATTTCGCATGTTCCTTGTCAATGATAGAAAATACTCTTCTCTTCATTTTTACACTTTACCCTAAAGTGGTTTTCACCACATACACAAAAAGAAACCAAGAGATCAGTCTCTCATGAAGTACCCTATAATAGGAAATACAAGAGAACTAAGCAATTTGGGAACAGTTACCATATTCTGTATGCCAAATGTTTTGGACTATGGTCATTTTGAGATGGGCATGTGAAACCAAGGGCGATTTTCAAAATGTTGAATTACCTGTTTGCCATGCCACTGACCATTCAGAAGACACTCCAGCTAGAAGACGGGAGGAAGATCCCCAAGGTCTCCTGCCCAACCAGGCCTTAATCCTTCAGTTGTTGGATCATGCGGAGGTCCCTGGATTCCCAGGGCAGGGACTGTGGCAGCTGGGGTGATGGAGGGTGTTGTGAGCGAGGGTTTAGGTAATAAGTAGTGCTTTACATGTATAGGGGCCATGGGAAACAAATCCTTGTCTATAGACATTTGGGGATGAGTTTCTTTTGGGAGTCTTTCTATTTATATTATATATCTTTATATTTATATTATGTCTATTAATCTTTATATTATATAAACTTCTATTTATATATAGTCATATAGTCTTCTATTTATATAGAAGTCTTTGATTTATATAGAATTCTAATTATATAGAGTTCTAATTATATAGTCTTCTATTTATATTATGTATCTTTCTATTTATATTATATCTATATTAGTCTTTCTATTTATATTATTTATATTAGTCTTCTTTTTATATTAGGAGTCCATATGAAAATAACATTGGGTTGGAAAAGAGGAATACAGGTGTTAGGCTTTATCATATTTTGTTGCATAAACTTGGAAAACTAACAACCATTTTGAGCATCAATCTCTTATTTGGAAAATGGTGACTAACCCTGTCTGCCTTAAGAAGCTATTATGAAGACTAGAAAAGATGGTATATTTGAAAGTGTTTTGAAAACTCAAAAAACACTAAAGACATTTAATGTAATATTACTATGGCACCAAATTTCTTAAATATAACTTATTTTAACTTTAGGAATCTAAAACCATTTTTTATTTACCTTAATTCTATTTTGAATTATATTCTCAAGATAATATGATTATTTCTTTTGTTTCTATTACACATATAAATATTTACTATTGAGACTAGTTCATTCAAAATATTTACTATTCTTGCAATGAATTGCTTTTGGCAGAATAATTTCTTTCTTAAAATCTTGATGAATAGTATTTGGTTGCACTTATAATAGCTCAGTTAATTAAAAACACACACACACACACAAAATGCGAGACCTGCAATGTGTACATCTACACTAAGCCACCATATAATGATGAGACATTCATGAACAGCAGTGACACATTTATTCACACTAAGAAAGGACAGGACAGGACAGGACAGGACAGGACAGGACAGGATAGGATAGGATAGGACAGGACATGATGCTAGTTAAATACATGGAAGAATATGTAGGATTCCGTAAGTTTTAATGCAAAGAACATGGACTTACATATGTAAATTTATCCTTTTAAGCCTATAATTATTAAGTTCCTGGGAACTTTGGTTAAGATTTTTTTTGCTTGTTTTTTTCACAATATATAATATGATTTTTATTAAGGTGTATTTAAAAAATACTTACATTGCTGAAGAGTTTTCTTCTTCCTTAATAAAACAATAATAAGCAAAATATTTTAAACAAGGCTGGGCATGGTGGCTCAGCACTTTGGGAGGCTGAGGTGTGTGGCTCACTAAGGACAGGAGTTTGAGACCAGCCTGGCCAACATGTTGAAACCCCATCTCTACTAAAAATGCAAAAATTAGCCAGGCATGGTGGCATATGCCTGTGTTCCCAGCTACTTGGGAGGCTGAGGCAGGAGAATCGCTTGAACCCAGGAGGTGGAGGTTGCAGTGAGCCAGATGGCATCACTGCACTCCAGCCTGGGCGACAGAATGAGACCCTGTCTCAAAAAAAAAAAAAAAAAATTTAAACAAGGACACTATAGTTGCTTTGCAATGTTTAAAATAATTGCCCACCTTTGCAAAAGAAAGTATATTTTCCATGTCTTTGTGAACTAATTTTATGTTATACATGTCAGCAGAAAGAAAGAAAGCTTGTAGGCACCTTTTATTTCTTTGAAGAGCCACAGTTTATCACTCTTTCTTTGACATGTAGTCATTATGCTGTTTATGAAAGTCAACTGCAGCTCCATAGGAGGTGGCTAAGAGATTTCATAGTAAGGTATAAAAGCTTCTTCCTTAGGAAATTACCTCAAAAGCATGCAATTTACTAACCCCTAGAGACATTTCATTCTGTAAATGGCTTCAAGAGAGCTCTCCTTATGTTAATTACAGCTGAAACTGGACTTAAGCATATCTGGAAAAATACTGTAAAATTACTTCAAAACTTTCCTTTTTACAAAGGCATATGTATTTGATCAATTTATGACACATTTACAATTTACAGTGTAATAAGATTATTGCACAGCATTACAGTATAATAATAAGTATAATCAAATTCCATATCAAAACCTGTGAATCTACATCATGTTACAGATACAATGGCAACTGAGAGTAATGAGCCAGTAACTGTAAAAGAAATGTTAATATTTTTTTCTCTAGTTTGCATATGCCTTTGCAAGACCCATTCATTAATTTCATGTATGGGTTTATTTTGCTAAACAAAATAAACAGTCGATGGTTAAAATATTTTTGGCTTTCACTCTCCAAACTTTGTCAACAGAGACTTTGACCTATTGTCAATCTATTGAAACTGATACTTTTTTCCAATCCCTTATGCTAAGAAGTGATTACAAATACCACGGCCAGACCACAAGGAAGCTAGTCACTAAAGTATTTACAAAGGAGACATCTATCCAAGTTGACAGACAGCTCAGTCTTCATCTTTGAACCAGTGCCTGTGGGTTCACAGTTTAAAAAGATGTGAAATATATTCTTTTTGTCCTCCTTGTCCTTACTTTAGCATGCAAGAAGACAAATATATAACCCTAAAGAAAGAGCTCATTCCAAAGAATGTTCAATTCTAGGTGACAACTGGATTTGGGGTATAAGGCTTTCCCACCAGAACTAGGCATTTCGCTGTGTCGTTAATCTTTCATTCCAAGACAACCTTTCTTCCGTTGTTTTTTTTTTGCCTTGCAGATGTTGAAAGTGCTTTCAGGTCAGATGCAAATACAGATGCATTACCACTGACAGGCTTGTCAGTCTTCTCCTGTTTAAAATGCTTTTTGGCACTTAGGGTTTTGAGACTCGTAATCACGCCTTTTCACCTTAAATTATAAAGCCCTTTTATGGCTGTTACTGGACTTTCTAGGGAGGCCTGATGCAGTGAAGCCTGAAGTTCCTGCTTAAGGCTTTGAGCATAGAGGGTTTCTAACAAAAGGTACTAAAATCTACTGCAAAACAGATGATTTTTCATTCAGGAACATGTATTCGTGAAGACCACACTGACTGAAGTGACCTTAGTGTTTCTAAGTCAGGTTGTGCTGATCTGTCTCTCTTAGCAGCTTCTGGAGATCTAAAACAGTCGTCTAGCATGATAAATCTCTGCACTCTGCATTGTTGAGGCAGACACTGTCACGGTGGAAGTAAATGAGCATGATTTATATTTACAATTCAGAAACTTTTCTTTTAAATGGAAGCAAAGCTGGGACTATGTCTATTATGCCTAAAGACTGCAGCAATATTGCAAGTAACTACAAGGCACTTATTTACATAAGTTTTTCTTTGTTATTTCCTTCTTTCTAACCTTGCTAATATTTATTTTGACTACTTGGCAAAGTGCCTCTGACTTCATCCAGGATGAGAACAAGGCTGAATGAACGATACCACCCAGGCAGTTCGTAAAACAAAACTGCTGAGAGTTTGTTTCTTCTTTCTTTTAGTATTCATAATTGCATATTATGAAAATTATAAATCATTTTCATAATTTGAGCAATGAACTGTTAGTTCCCAGGGACACTTGTTGGGTGTTCACGAGATCAACTGCATTTATAAACATTTTATTGTATTTTTTAAGTAGCCTAGTATTTGGGATTAGATTTGACAATCTGGCTGGGAATCAGTAACCTGAAGCTCACCTAGACCAAGTGACTTTGTCAAAAAGAAGCAAAGTACAATTGTGTACGGTAATTTCCTCCAGATGGTTATAGAAGCCAAATCTGATTCTTGTCAAATGATTAGTGTTAAGGTGTTTATTTACAATAAGAAAGAATTCACACTTTTCTTAGTACAAATCAGTGGTTCTCCAATTGTGGTCTCAGGAGCAGCTTTACATGGGAACTTGTTAAAAATGCAAATTCTCAAGCACCACCACACCTACTGAATTAGAAACTCTGGGAGTGGGGGCCCAGTGAAATGTGTTTTAATAAGCCCTTTGGGTGACCCTGATGTTTCAAGTTTATGAGTAATTTAAAGCAACGCTATCATAAATCTGAATAAAATCTACACAATTACTTTATAATTTTCACTTGGGTATATGGAGATATGAAGTCAAATTTTAAAAGCAAAATGTAAAGCTTCACTCTGATTTAAGCAAAAATCTTAATGGCATTGCAGCACCATCAAATCCCTTTCTTTTCACTGGTTTTGAGTTCATTTGAGGGAAAAAAGGTGACTCTAACTTGCTGAAAACAGTGTAAGTTATGTATATACTAAACGTTTGAATTCTGATTTTGATTTATTTTTCTTTCCGTAGAGCTGCCTAGTCTGTATGATTGTTGTTTGTCATTGTCAACTGCCTGCCAAATTATACAATTGAAAAATGAAAAGGAGAATTCACCTACGTAGACAGACATCTGCTAGAAATCAGTACTTTTAAATTTCACTCACTTTCTAGAATACTTCTAGAATTTTCTATGTGAAAAAGCAAAGGAATCTAAAAGGACATGCATGGTTCTTTCTTGGGTGGGAATTTTTTTTTTCATTGATGCAAAAATAGGTGTTCATATTTTCACAGTACATGTGATCTTTCAATTCATATAACTTGTGCAGATCAAATCAGTGTATTTGGGATATCCAACACCTTAAATATTTGTCTTTTTTATGCTAGAAACACTTGAATTATTCTCTTCTAGGTAATTTTAAATGTTTAATAGATTATTGTCTATATCAATAAACTATAGTCAACCTACTGATCTATTGAACACTAGGTCTTAATTTTTCTATCAAACTGCATATTTGTACCCGTTAATCAACTTCTCTTCATCTCCCACTCCCCACTAACCTTCCTGGCCTGTAGTAACCACCAATCTACCATCTATCTTTATAAGATCCACTTTTTTAGCTCTCACATATGAGTGAGAACATGTGATATTTGTATTTCTGTGCTCGGCTTATTTTACTTAACTTAATGACCTCCAGTTCTATCCATGTTGCTGCAAATGATAGAATTTCATTCATTTTTATGTCTCAATAATAGTCCATTGTGTATCTATACTGCAATTTCTTTATCCATTCATCCACTGATGGGTACTTAGGTAGGTTCCATATTTTGGCTATTGTAAATAATGCTGCAATTAACATGGGAGTGCAGCTGCCTCTTTGATATATTGATTTCCTTTCTTTTGGGTATATACCCAATAGTAGAATTGCTGGATCATATGGTAGTTCTATTTTTAGTATTTTTAGGAACCTCAAAACTGTTCTTCATTGTGGTTGTACTAATTTACGTTCCCACCAATATGAGGGTTCCTCTTTCTCCAAATTCTCACCAGAATTTGTTATCACCCGTCTTTGTGATGAAGGCCATTTTAACTGGGGTGAGATGATATCTTATTGTGGTTTTAATTTGCATCTCTCTGAAGATTAGTGATTTTGAATTTTTTTTTCATATAGCTGTTAGCCATTGGTATGTCTTCTTTTGAGAAATACCTATTCACATATTTTTCTTACTTAAATTGGATTATTGTTTTTTGCTATTGAGTTGTTTGAGTTCCTCCTATAGTGTAGTTATTAATCCCTTGTCAGATGGAAAGATTGCCAATGTTTTGTCCCATTCTGTGGGTTGTCTCTTCACTTTGTTGACTGTTTCCTTTGCTCTGCAGAAGCATTTCAGCTTGATGTAATCTCAATTGTCTATTTTTACTTTGGTTGCCTGTGCTTTTGAGATCTCACACACAAAAATATCTTTGCCCAGATCAATGTCCTGGAGTGTTTCCCCAGTGTTTTCTTCCAGCAGCTTCATAGTTTCAGGTCTTAGATTTAAGTCTAGCTTCATTCACCTGCATATACTTATCCAATATTAACAGCACCATTTATTAGAGAGACTATTGTTCCCCCATTTATTCTTGGTGCCTTTGTCAAAGGTGAATTGGGTTTAAATGTATGGATTTATATCTGGGTTCTCTATTCTGTCCCATTGTGTTTTTATGCCAGTACCACACTGATTTGATTGCTATAGCTTTGTAGTAAACTTTGAAGTCAGGTAGTGTCTTCAAATGCCTCCAGCTTTGCTCTTTTTGCTCAGGATTGCTTTGGCTGTTTGGAGTCTTTTGTAGTTCCATACAAACTTTAGTATTGTTTTTTCTATTTCTGTAAAGAGTGTCATTGGTATTTTGATGGGGCATTTGCATTGAATCTGTAAATAGATTTGGGTAGTGTGGTCATTTTAACAATGTTAATTCTTCCAATCCATGAACATGAAATGTCTTTCTATTTTTGTGTCCCTCTCAATTTCTTTCATCTGTGTTTCATAGTTTTCTTTCACTTCTTTGGTTAAATTGATATCTAGGTATTTTATATTCTTTGGAGCTTTGATGAATGGGATTCTTTTCTTTCTTTCTTTTTCAGATCAATTGCTGTTAGCATATAGAAATGCCACTGACTTTTTAGGCTGATATGTATCCTGCAACTTTACTGAATTCATTTGTCAGTTCTATGAGGTTTTGGTGGAATTTTTAGGTTTCTCTGAATATAAGAATATATCATCAGCAAACAAGGATAATTTGAGCTCTTCCTTTCCAATTTGAATGCTCATTATTTCTTTCTCTTGCCCAATTGCTCTGTCCAGGACTTACAGTATTAGGTTGAATAAAAGTAATGAAAGTGGGCATCCCTGTCTTGTTTCAGATCCTAGAGGAAAGACCTTCAATTTCTCCCCACTCAGTATGATATTTGCTGTAGGTTTGTCATATATGGCCTTTATTATTTTGAGTTATGTTCCTTCTATACCCAGTTTGATGAGGACTTTTATCATAAAGGGGTGTTGAATTTTATTGAATACTTTTTTGGCATCTATTGAAACATCATATAGTTTTTACTTTTGGTTTTGTTAATGTTATGTATAACATTTATTGATTAGTATATGTTGAATCATCCTTGCACCCCTGGGATGAATCCCACTTGATCGTAGTAAATGATCTTTATAATGCCTTATTACATTCAGGTTGCTAGTATTTTGTTGAAGATTGTTGTACCTATGTTCATTGGTGATACTGTCCTGTACTGTAGTGTTCTTTTTTTTTTTTTTTTTTTTTTTTGGTCCTGTTGTGTTCTTGTCTGGTTTGGTATTGGGGTAATTCTGGCCTTGCAAAATGAGTTTGGTAGTATTCCCTACTCTTCAATTTTTTTTGAAGAGTTAGAGTATAATTGGTATTAGTTCTTCTTTAAATGTCTGGTAGAATTTAGCAGTGAAGGCCTAAGGTCCTGAGTTTTTCTTTGATGGGAATCTTATTCTAAATTACAGCTTAATCTTGTTGCTCATTATTGGATTGTTGAGACTTTTTTATTCCTTCATGGTTCAATCTTAGTAGGTTGTATGTGTTCAGGAATTTCTCAATTTGTTGGCGTATAGTTGTTCCTAAGAGTCTCTAATGATACTTTGTATTTCTGTGGTCTCAGTTCTTATACCTCCTTTTCTATTTAATTTTATTTATTTGTATCATCTCTCTCTTTTTCTTAGTTAGACTAACTAAAGGCTTATCATCTTTTTTTATCTTTCATAAAAACACAACCTTTTGGCTGGTCATGGTGGCTCACGCCTATAATCCCAGCACTTTGGGAGGCCAAGGTAGGTGGTCAGGAGTTCGAGACCAGCCTGGCCAGCATGGTGAAACCCTGGCTCTACTAAAAATACAAAAAATTAGCCGGGCATGGTGGCACGCGCCTGTAATCCCAGCTACTCAGGAGGCTGAGGCAGGAGAATTGCTTGAACCCGGCAGGCAGAGGTTGCAGTGAGGCTGGAGTGCAGTGGTGTGATCTCAGCTCACTGCAAGCTTGCCTCCCAGGTTCATGCCATTCTCCTGCCTCAGCATCCCGAGTAGCTGGGACTACAGGTGCCCGCTACCGCACCCGGCTAATTTTTTGCATTTTTAGTGGAAACAGGTTTCACCGTGTTAGCCAGGATGGTCTCAATCTCCTGACCTCGTGATCTGCCCGCCTCGGCCTCCCAAAGTGCTAGGATTACAGGCGTGAGCCACCGCACCCGGCTCACTCTATGGCTTTTAATTGAAGAATTGAGTCCATTTATATTCAGTGTTATTCTTGATAAGTAAGACTTACTACTGTCATTTAGTTGCTTATTTTCTGGTTGTTTTATAACTTGTCTCTTCCTTCTTTCCGTCTTTCTTTGTGGTTAAGTGATTTTCTCTGGTATTATGTTTTAATTCATTGCTTTTATTTTTAGCAAATCTATTGTAGGTTCTTGCATTGCGGGTACCAATAGGCTTACAAAAAATACCTTGTAGGTATAGTAAGTTGTTTTAAGGAGGTGACAATTTATCTTTTTTTTTTTTTCTGAGATGAAGTTTCGCTCTTGTTGCCTATGCTGGAGTGCAGTGGCGCAATCTCAGCTCACTGCAGGCTCCGCCTCCCAGGTTCAAGTGATTCTTCTGCCTCAGCCTCCCGAAGAGCTGGGATTACAGGCGCCCACCACCATGCCCAGCTAATTTTTGTATTTTTAGTGGAGACAGGGTTTCACCATGTTGGCCAAGCTAGTCTCCAACTCCTGACCTCGTGATCTGCCCACCTCAGCCTCCTAAAGTGCTGGAATTACAGGCGTGAGCCACTGCGCATGGCAACAATTTATCTTAGATCACAAAGAAAAGAATAGGTAAAAAGAAAAAAAAAGGTAAAAGTTCTACACTTCAACTCCATCTCCCCTAAATTTTGACTTTTACTTGTCTCAGTCTACCTTTTTTATATTACCTACCTCTTGACAGACTACTGTAGCTATTATTATTTGGTAGATTTGTCTTTTGGGCTTCATACTAGAATTAAGAGTGGATCGTACACTGCAATTCAGTATTCTGTGTTTGTCTGTGTCCTTCTGTCAGTGGGTTTTATACCTTCAAATGCTTTTTTTTCATGTTAATGGTCTTTCTTTCTTCTTTCTTTCCTCCCTCCCTTCCTTCCTTCCTTCCTTCCTTCCTCTTTCTTTCTTTCTTTCTTTCTTTCTTTCTTTCTTTCTTTCTTTCTTTCTTTCTTTTTCTTTTCTCCCTTTCTTTCTTTCTTTTTTTTCTGCAGGAAAAACTCCCTTTAAGCATTTCTTATAAGATGAGTCTGAAGGTGGTGAATTTTCTGCACTTTTGTTTGTCTGGGAAATACCTTATCTCGCCTTCATATTGGAAGAATGACTGCTGCATGCAGTATTTTTGATGGAAGGTTTTTCTTTCAGCACTTAGAAAATGTCATTCTACTCCCTCCTGGCATGTACAGTTTCCATTGAGAAGTCTGTTGCCAGATGAATTGTACCTCTTTTGCTATTTGTGTATTTTCCCTTACTGCTTTTAGGATCCTCTCTCTATCTTTGACCTTTGAGAGTTTGATTATTGCATACTTAGGAGTAGTCTTATTTGGGTCAAATCTGTTTAGTGTTCTCTGACTTTCCTGAACCTGGATATTTATATCTTTCTCACATTTTAGAACATCTTCTGTTATTTCTTTGAATAAGTTTTCTACCCCTTGTTCTTGCTCATCTCCCACTTGAATACTAATAATTCTTAAATTTGCTCTTTTGAGGTAATTGTCTGTATCTTGCAGGTGGTCTTTTTTCCTTATCATTCTCTTTTCTCCCCTGTGTATTCTCAAATATACAGGGCCTTTCTTTGGGCTCACTGAGTCTTTCCTCTGCTTGATCCATTCTGCTATTGAGGGCCTCTAATGAATTTTTAATTCAGCAAATATATTTCTGAGTTCCAAGATTTCCGTTTGATTTTTTTGTCAGTTATTTCAATCTCATTGTTAAATTTCTCTGATAAATTTATGTTTTTATTTATAATTTTCTTTCTCATTGGAGGGGAGGGAAAGAAAGCAAGCAGAGGTGGGGGTATGGTTACACTATTTAAGGAAGAGCTGAATACAAAGACAATGAGTCTTTCATAGTCTCAACAACTCCACAATGAATGTGGATTATCTCATTTATAATTCACATTGGATCAAAAAAATTGGTTCCCCTCTGTATATATCAATTTAATTCAAACCTTATTATCTTCAAAATACAAAGATGAATACTGCAAGATAAACTCTTACTGCAATAGGTATTTTCTAAGTAGAAGACCAAACATCAAAGGGAATCCCTCTTTCCAATGTCTTTTGATATGACAAGATTTTGCCAGAGTTGAACTCTAAAACTTAAGTAAGCATTCTCATGGCCAAGTAAGAAACTAGTTGTTTTGGGTATTATCTTACAATTCACGTATGTATTACATATTAAATTAAACTCAGCATGAAATATGATTGTATAATTATGCTGTTAATGATGATAGCAGTGATGATGCTGGTAGAAAAAACCTGTCTTTAGCCCAAGAAAAGTAAGGGAGAAAAATGTAACAAGCAGAAATCAGACAGAGAGTTGGGCATTTTTTGACTAGGAAAGAGAATTTTAAGCATAGAAATATACAAAGAAAAGTACTCCCTTATTTTCCCTATATGGAAATAGTATGAAACATTTATTAGATCTACTGGACAAGAACAGAACTAAGTACTGCAACTGTACCGCAGCATTACAAAAAATTCATCCCTTCACAACAGTGTAAGATTTAAGGGCAGCCTGCCCAAGGATGCATGTTATATAAAACACAACAAGATTGCTACTGCCCTGCCAAGTACTTCCAGTCCCTACCCAGGTCCTAGTGAAATACTGGTGTTCCCAATTAGTTTTATTAAAATAATTCTTTAAAGAAAAGATAAAGCATTTAAAAAGACAAGTCAAAATGCTTCAGGAACGACATATCCAGCACAAACTTTATCCTCAAATGAGTTACGTTTGCTTCGCACTAATAAACTTTTATTTCACTCAAATTAGAGCAATAATCTTCCATACATAAATGTTTTCCCTGCCCAATAATTCAAAAAAAATCCAAAATCATTAGTAAAAAAATATAAGAATTAACAGACCCTTTAAATTTGTTTTAAATATTTTTAAGGTTTAAAAATTGTTTAAAGTTTGTAATTCCTAGTAGGAAAACATTATCTGAATGAATACCCTAATGGCAAACCACTGTAAAATGCCTCAGCTGCATTTAGGGGAGAGGGGTAGGGATTATCTTCAAAGCACCCCAGCTCTCTTGATGAGAAGGTCAGAGGTACACTGCTTTGTATTATTGTGACATCCATAAGGTGATCTAGGTTGTTTTTCCTTCAGCAAGGGCTTTATTCATCAGAAGGGCATTACACTTGACCTCCAAATTTGGCTGACAATTTACTGATAAGATTCATAACCTTTGGGTTGCTCTGGTATTGTGACATATTTGCTGGGTTCTGAGCCACATCCTGGAAGGCCACCATAACCTCTGGACCCTGCATGGCTGCAAGAACCTCTGAATCACTAAGAATTTCATTGAGTCCAGGCATTCTGGCCATTCCAGACATTCCTCAGGGAAAATTACCAGGCATTCCCCCAGGAAAGCCACCTGGAAAAGAGCTATACTGAGCTCCTTAGTGTCATCTGGCTTCTTCCTCCCTCTGGGCTCTCTCATGCTCTTCTTGAGCCTTCTTAACTCTTTCTATTCTTGCTTTGATCTCTCACCCTTCACGTTTTCACTCATACTTTCTCTGATGTTCTGCAATTTTCTGTGCCCTAGGTTGAACTTCTTTCAGCATTGCACTAGCATCTTCATCATAATCCAATTTACAGGCAAAGGCAAGATCATGTGCTGCTTCTTCCCAGTGGCCTAGAAGTATGTGTGCTTTCCCTCACCACTTGTAAGGCTGAGCTGAATCAGGATTTATTTCAATGGCTCTGTCACAGTCTCAGATAGCAGCGTTTGGCTCCTGTAATTTGACAAAGACACTTGCCCTCTTGGCATACAAAATGGCCAAGCAAGGATTCAGCCTGATGGCATCTGTGAATAAGTCAATGGCTTTCTGCAGTTCACCATCACTTAGGGCTTCAATAGCAGCCACTTTCTTATCATTTGCCTGATTCATCATCTCCTCTGTTATCTCTGCATTTTAATCTCCCAGTTCTTGAGGGGCATCAGTGTCTGGTTCAATCACACCTTCATTATCAATAACTAGATCACTTTCCTCACTTGATGGCGTTAGATATGAGTTCTAAATTTCTCTTCAAAGAATCAATATGTCAGTATGTTCGATTCTTTGCCTTCTACTTTTAAACTTAACTTCCTCATAAAGCAACCTTTTTCAATCACCTGCTCCACTCTGACTCATTCCGATTACCTGCTCCACCCTGACTCATTCTGATCACCTGCCCCACCATGACTCATTCCAATTACCTGCTCCACCCTGACTCATTCCAATTACCTGCCTGCCTTGGCTCATTCTGATCACCTGCCCCACCCTGACTCATTATGATCACCTTCCCCAACCTGACTCATTCTGATCACTTGCCCCATCCTGACTCACTCCAATTACCTGCTCCACCCTGACACGTTCCGGTTACCTGCTCCTGCCTGACTTCTCCTCCACTCTGACTTATTCCATAACCATTTTTCCCGCTAAACCACTCACCACATCACTCTCTTTAAATTAGCCAATCGGAATTAGTTTAGCCTGTGCAGTCTAACCCTAGCCAATAGGGGAACGACACAGCAGCAGGGGCCACGTGCATCAGGAATAAGAACCCCTTTCCCACCCAGGTGTGTTCTCGCTATTGTTCCATCTGCAACTGAGCACCTTTTCTGCAGAAAGTAAAGACAGCCTTGCTAAGAGATCATTTGTCTCCAAGCTGACTTTTCTTTGCAGCACCGATTATCTATTTCTAACAATTTTGGGGGCTCGTCCAGGATTACAGTCTCCTCTAGGGTGGGTCTCCAGTCCTCTCTTGTGAGAAGGCATGCCCCACTACCTCGTTTTTGGCAGCCTCAGGGGTGAGGAACCGAGATCCACCCAGTGTGATGAATAAACTGGGACTCTCAGCAACGTGGAAAGAAACTGGCTAGCAACGTAGGGTAAAGGATCCTCACATACTGCGGTAATGACTCTGCACAGACCAAGGAAGGAGAAACCATGGGAGCTGGTAAAGTACTTCCTTGGTGGTCAAATTCTGGAGGGCCAAATGTGTGTGTGTGTGCGTGAATGATCACAAACAACCCTTCTTATGGTATTGTTCATGTGGATGGTGACAAGTCCTACTGCTGGAGTGAGTGGGTCCTCTCCACGGTTCTGTGGCTACCTCATATGGCTTAGGGCAGATCCTGCTGTGGGATTTATACCGGCATACCAATGCTAAGAGGGGTCTAATTCTTCCTTGGGGGAGCAGCCAGAGAGGACAACATGAGTGGGAAGTGTGCAAAGGACCGTCAGATGGGGAAAGGGAGGAAACAGGTCAACCTTCCAGGGCAGCAAGGCAAGACATCCCTGGTTTGAGGGGTTGAGACTTCCAGGACAGGCAAGGCAAGGCACCCCTGGTTTGAGTGGTTGAGACTTCCACAAATTTCAGGGGGTTGAACCTTACACAAACCTCTGGTAGTTAGAAAAATATTCAGAACTCCCCTTTCCTTTCTTCTTGTGGGGAAGAAAGAGTAGCTCCACTCCTGCTGGTCCCTCCCCTAGGGGAAGGGGAAGGAGAGGGGGGAACAGCAGCATAAGCAGCTGGCAGAGGCAGGGAAAGACCAGCAGAGAGGAAAGAGAAACTTGGAGAGGAAGTCAGAGAGAAAGAGACAGAGAGTCAAAGAGAGAGAGAGAGAGATAGAAGTAGTAAAGAGAAAACAGTGTACCCTATTCCTTTAAGTGCCAGGATAAATTAAAAACCTATAATTGATAGTTGAAGGTCTTCTCCTTGACCCTATAACATTCCAATACCACCTTGTTGTCAGTGTAAACAAGGGTGTAGCCTGAAAGCACTGAGGCCACTGACAACCCGTAGCCTTTCCTAATCAAAAATCCTTAACCCTGTAACCTGTGGATAGCCCAAATGCATTTAATCTGTAGTGGCGACTGCTTTGTTAACAGAAGAAAGTAGAAAAATAACTTTTAGAGGAAACTTCATTGTGAGCACACCTCATCAGGTTGGAACTATCCTAAGTCAAAAAAAAAAAAAAAAAAAGCAAAAATGTAGCATACTGACTCAAGAACCTTAAAGTATGAGGCTATTCTGTTAGAAAAAGATGATTTAACATTAAACACTGAAAATTCCCTTAACCCAGCAGGCTTCCTAACAGGGGATCTAAATCTTAATTGATTACCATACAAAGGTCCAACCAGACCTAGGAGGAACTCCCTTCAGGACAGGACAATAGATGGTTCCTCCCGGGTGATTGAGGGAAAAAGACACAATGGGTATTCAGTAAGTGATAAGGAAACTCTTGTAGAAGCAGAGTTAGGAAAATTGCCTAATAGTTGGTCTGCTCAAACGTGTGAGCTGTTTGCATTCAGCCAAGCCTTAAAATACTTACAGAATCAGGAAGGAGCTATCTATACCAATTCTAAGTTAATATGGACTGAACGAAGTCTTACTAATAGCAAAGAATAATTGAAATCCCAAACTTACAAAGTTTTCAACAAAAGTAAAATTTGCTAAAAGTTAACAGTGTAACATGTATTATCCTAACTTCTAATTTTGTGGCCTAAGGCAGCCTAGTCCACAGACATGAAGGAAGTTCACTTTGGAAAAGAATGGTTATCTTTGAAAACAAAAAATGGGGGAGAATTTATGTAAAAAGAATATTATATGGTAAATTCTTGTCCTAAAACAAATTAACTGGTTGTTTAAAGAAAGGGATGTTTGCAACAAGTCAAAAAGTTGAGGCACATTGAAGAATTGTCTGTGAAAGTCGTGAAAAAAAGTTATAAAAGGGAAATGTTGTATAATTTAAAAGTAATTAGGCCTCCTGAATGTAAAACTATTGAAGAAACAGTTTATGTGCAAGGTGTGTAAGGAAAGTAAAATGTATTTTTGGTAAAAGGATTACAAGGAGGCATAAGAATATGGATTTTTACCTACATTAAAAGGTTAAAAAAATATTTTATTGGCCGGGCGCGGTGGCTCACGCCTGTAATCCCAGCACTTTGGGAGGCTGAGGTGGGCAGATCACGAGGTCAGTAGATTGAGACCATCCTGGCTAACATGGTGCAACCCCATCTCTACTAAAAATACAAAAAATTAGCTGGGTGTGGTGGCGGGCACCTATAGTCCCAGCTACTCGGGAGGCTGAGGCAGGAGAATGGCGTGAACCCGGGAGGTCGACGTTGCAGTGAGCCGAGATAGCGCCACTGCACTCCGGCCTGGGCAAAAGAGCGAGACTCCATCTCAAAAAAAAAAAAAAAAATTTGTTTTAAAGGTTTAAGCAAGTTTTGAAATGTTAATTGTAAAGGAAATTCTGTGTGTAAACATATTGGCTAAAGTTAAAGGGGTATCCAGTTTTTCTGTGAACGGGACATTAAAATAAAAGCACAACAGATTTTTCTTAAAGCACTAACCTGCTCTTTAACAAAAATTATAAATGGTTAAAAAGAGTCTATAAAAATCTTACCTTATGGTCAGACATTAAAATTGGATAAATATGTCTATAAGGTTTCATTAAAATTAAGTTTAACATTAATAACACTAATATAAAGGTGAAATTTAGTTCATCTGGTATAAAATCATACAGGAAGCATTGTTAAATATAAAATGGTGTTTGGCTTTCTTTGGTCTAAAAACTAATAAAAATAGGTGCTAAAGAAAATTTCTCAGGCTGGGCACAGTGTCTCATGCCTGTAATCCCAGCACTTTGGGAGGCTGAGGCAGGCAGATCACGAGGTCAGGAGATCAAGACCATCCTGGCTAACATGGTGAAACCCCGTCTCTACTAAAAATACAAAAAATTAGTCGGGCGTGGTGGCGGGCGCCTGTAGTCCCAGCTACTCGGGAGGCTGAGGCAGGAGAATGGCGTGAACCCGGGAGGCAGAGCTTGCAGTGAGCCGAAATCATGCCATTGCACTCCAGACTCCAGCCTGCGTGACAGAGCAAGACTCCTTCTGAAAAAAAAAGAAAAAAAAGAAAATTTCTCAGCAAGAAGGCACCAAGGACTATAAAGTCCACTGCTGATGTCCCCACATTTAAAACAAAAGATCAATTTCTTAGAAATTATTTACTTGGGTTAACCTCCACTTTCTCCTCCCTTAAAACAAGAGGTCTTTCAGCAGAGGCGCCGCCTTTGGAGTTTCCAGTACATCAGCATCGGCCTGGGGATCACGTTCTCATCAAAGGGTGGAAAGAAGGGAAACTTGAGCCAGCCTGGGAAGGACCCTGCATTGTGCTGCTAACCACCGAGATTGCTGTTTGTACAGCAGAAAAGGATGGACACATCACACCCTAGTCAAGCAAGTGCCATTATCATCAGAATCATGGGTCATTGTTCCTGGACAATCCTCTACCAAATTAAACCTAAAAAAAGCTTAGTCCATCTATCTTTTCCTTTCCTTTCCTTACCCAGTGCTTATATCCATTACTATTCCTACCACTAGCAACTCTTACCCCACTTTAGAGCACTTCTATGGTTTAGGAGCAGAAGTCACTGGAAAGGATCCTATAGGCTTCTTCAAGGTATGCTTTGTTCTCCCTCCTCCACCTCCTATGGCTGCCCCTTTCCCAAACCTATGAAATCAAACTATGACTCGCCTCATGCCAAGTGACAAAAGCAAGGTCTCAGTAGTAGAAATAGGAGACCTAAGGCAAACCATAGCCATTGAAACAGGGTATAAAGATGTAAATGCCTGGTTAAAATGGATTAAATGTTCTGTCCACATGTTAAACAAAGGCAATTGTTATGCTTGTGTGCACTGCAGGCCAGAGGCCCAGATTGTCCCCTTTCTACTAGGGCGGTCCTCCAGTCGACCGGGCGTGGGCTGCATGGCAGCTCTCTTACAGGATTCTACAGCCTGCGGTAACAAGTTGTGCCAAGTTCTCTCTCTGCTATATCCCAAATTTCAACACCCTGCAGGTCAGCCCCCGAGGGCCATCCAGCTTCCATCTCCCAACACAAAGTTCACTAAGTGTCTCAGACTGAGAGACAGGACTAGCTGGATTTCCTAGGCTGACTAAGAATCCCTAAGCCTAGCTGAGAAGGTGACCACATCCACTTTTAAACACGGGGCTTGCAACTGAGCTTACACCTGACCAATCAGAGAGCTCACTAAAATGCTGATTAGGCAAAAACAGGAGGTAAAGAAACAGCCAATCATCTATTGCCTGAGAGCACAGCGGGAAGAACAAGGATCAGGCCATAAACCCAGGCATTCTAGCAGGCAACGGCAATCCCCTTTGGGTCCCCTCCTTGTATGGGAGCTCTGTTTTCACTCTATTAAATCTTGCAACTGCACTCTTCTGGTCCTTGTTTGTTATGGCTCTAGCTGAGCTTTCGCTCGCTGTCCACCACTGCTGTTTTGCCAGTGTTGCAGACCCGCTGCTGACTTCCATCCCTCCGGATCCAGCAGGGTGTCTGCTGTGCTCCTGATCCAGCAAGGCGCCCATTGCCGCTCCCGATCGGGCTAAAGGCTTGCTATTTTTCCTGCATGGCTAAGTGCCTGGGTTTGTCCTAATCAAGCTGAACACCAGTCACTGGGTTCCACGGTTCTCTTCTGTGACCCACGGCTTCTAATAGAGCTATAACACTCACTGCATGGCCTAAGATTCCATTCCTTGGAATCCGTGAGGCCAAGAACCCCAGGTCAGAGAACACGAGGCTTGCCACCATCTTGGAAGTGGCCCACCGCCATTTTGGAAGTGGCCCACCACCATCTTGGGAGCTCTGGGAGCAAGGACCCCTGGTAACATCACGACAGGGAGGAAACTTAGTGTTCCTTGGAGACCTGAAGGGATGCAGTAAGCTTAAAAATTTTCAAAAGCTTACCAATCAGTCAGCCCTTATTCATCCCTGAGTGGATGTGTAGTAGTATTATGGTGGACCTTTACTGAACACTCTGCTGAGTAACTCAAGTGGGACTTATTCTTTAGTCCAATTGGCTATCCCTTTCACCTTGGCATTTCATCAACCAGAGAAAGGAAAAATAAGACATCGTAAAGCAAAAGAAGCCTCTTATGGGTCATTCTACTATCACGTCTATTTAGACACAATTAGAGTCCCATGGGGAATACCAGATCAATTTAAAGTCCGAAATCATATAGCTGCAGGATTTGAGTCAATATTTTAGTGGGTGACAATTAAGAAAATGTAAATTGGATAAACTACATTTATTACAACCAACAGGGATCTATTAATTACACTAGAGATGCTGTTAAAGGAATAGCTGAATAATTAGGGGCTACTAGCCAGATGGCTTGGGAAAAATAAGATAGCCTTAGTCATGATATTAGCAGAAAAAGGAGGAGTTTGTGTCATAATTAAAACTCAATGTTGCACCTTCATCCCAAACAACACTGCCCCTGATGAAAGTATGACAAAGACATTGCAAGGTCTGACTGTTCTATCCAATAAGTTAGCCAACAACTCAGGGGTAAACGACCATTTTACAGGATGGCTAGAAAAGTGGTTCGTTAAATGAAAAAGAATAATAGCCTCAATTTTTACTTCCCTCACAGCCGTAATGGGTTTACTTATTCTTGTAGGGTGCTGTGTCATACCATGCATCCATGGTTTGGTACAGAGGCTCATAAAAATGGCTCTTACTAGAACCTCCTTTAACTATCCTACACCTTATCCAGAGAAGCTGCTTCTTTTGGAAAATCAAGCAGAACAACTAAGCCAAGACATGTTAAAGAAGTTTGAAGAGAAAGAGCTGTAAGGTAAATGCAAGAGGAGGGAATGTTAGATATGAGTTATAAATTTCTCTTCAAAGAATCAATATGTCAGTATGTTCAATTCTTTGCCTTCTACTTTTAAACTTAACTTCCTCATAAAGCAACCTTTTTTGATCATCTGCTCCACTCTGACTCATTCCGATTACCTGCTCCACCCTGACTCATTCCAATTACCTGCTCTGCCCTGACTCATCCTCCACTCTGACTCATTCCATAACCATTTTTCCCGCCAAACCAGTCATCCCGTCACTCTCTTTAAATTAGCCAATTGGAATTAGTTTAGCCTGTGCAGTCTAACCCTAGCCAATAGGAGAATGACACAGCAGCAGGGGCCATGTGCATCAGGAATAAGAACCCCTTCCCCTCCCTTGTCCAGGTGTGCTCTCACCATTGTTCCATCTACAATTGAGCACACTTTCTGCAGAAAGTAAAGATGGCCTTGTTGTGAGATCACTTGTCTCCATGCTGACTTTTCTTCATGGCACTGATTATCTATTTCTAACAATGGTTCATCTGCCTTTAAGTCTTCCTCCACCTTCTTACTATCAGTTTTTTTTTTCCCCTTGGTATTTTCTTCTCATTTAGCTTTCTGAGTAGCAGGTGGTACTTTACCCCCCACGATCTCCACCCACTCCCTCAGGAAGTGCATTTCCTTGGTGTGCAGAATGGTCAGATCTGGCTTACACATTTTCACAAAGGCCCAAAGCTCGTTCACTTTGCGGGGGTCCATGGTTGGGAGGTGATGGGCAAAGCTGAGGGGCTGCAGCTCAGTTCCAGGCCCAGGCACGGCTTGACATGACCACGCAGAAGACTCTGATAAATTTATGAATTGCTTTTCTGTGTTATCTTGGAGATTACACAGAATAAAACTGGTATTTTGAATTCTTGGTGAGAGAGCTCACATACTGCCATCTTGTTAGGGTCAGCACTGGTTCCTTGTTTTGTCCATTTAGAGAGGGCATTTTTCCCTTGTGGATATATGTCTAATGTCTTTGCATTAAAGGATTATTTATTCCAGTCTTTTCTGTTTGGCTTGTTTTGGTTTTTATTGGATATATTTGCTTAGAGATTCTTTTTTTTTTTTTTTGAAATGGAGTCTCACTCTTTTTGCCCAGGCTGGAGTGCAGTGGTGTGATCTAGGGTCACTGCAACCTCTGCCTCCCGAGTTCAAGCGATTCTCCTGCCTCAGCCTCCGGAGTAGCTGGGATTACAGGTGCTCCCCCACCACACCTGGCTAATTTTTTTGTATTTTTAGTAGAGACAGGGTTTCACTATGTTTAGCCAGGCTGGTCTTGAACTCCTGGCCTCAGGTGATCCACCCACCTCAGCCTCCCAAAGTGTTGGGATTACAGGTGTGAGCCACCATGCCCGGCCCTGCTTACAGATTCTTTATTGCTAGATCACTACCTCCTTTTTCGGCTGTAGGTTTTACCTTAAGCCCGGGTTTATAATGGCTCTATAAACAATCAGAGTGTTGCTCTTCCCCAGTGAGGATTGTTGCAAATGGGGTATTTTGGTAGTGTGGGAAGGCTGGCTAGGGATTCCTGCACAGGGACCCTGTGGCATGAATCCTCTACAGCATGATGCTGCAGGACAGCCACTCCCATTTGGTGTCTCCTTTGGCTGTGTTCCAGAGCATAGTTTCCAAGACTGGTGACAGTAGTCCCACCTCCCTCCTTGGTCTTTGCTTGATCTCAGGGATATTTCTCCCTTCAGGCACTCATTTGGTTTCCTATGGAGTAAGGTGAGGACAGGTCACCTGCCAGGGAAACCAAACTGGAGGGCAAGTTTTCTGTCCACCTCAATCTCACTTTTTCCAGTGTAGAAATTATGAGCTGAGAGGAAATTTTGTGTGCATTTGATGCTGGGCAGAATGTTGGGAGGGACATCACTGTTGTAGAAATCTGATTCTCTTACCATCTACTCAGAGTTTTGTTTGTTTTTTTATACTTCTCTGTGACCACAGGAAGTATTTCATTCTCATGTTTGAGTTCTGGGATATGCTAGTGATAATCCCAGCACTATATTTTTATTTTTGGTTTTCTGCTGGGGACAGTGAAGCCAGCTTGCTTCTGTGCCTCCATTTTGGAACCAGAAGTCCACATGCATGATTCTTTAGCAATACTCATTCTTTGAAAGAGACTGGTTAGTGTTTTATAGATGAAAGACAATATTGGGGTTATTGTTTATAGATAATGCTATAATTTAGAATTTGGAGAAGAAGAAAAGGGAAACTAACAAAGCAAAGAAAAATTTTCAATGTAAAATTCCATAAGCTTAAGGGAAAAGTAGAAAATTTCACTAGGAATTGAGAAAGGATTATAGCAGAACTTTCCATTTCCTATGGGAAACAATAAACTCCATCCTTTCATATGTAAAGCTAGGTTAGCTATGTGCTCTTCACATTCAGTAGGTGGCCAGCAAATCATTTCTTTCAGGCTTGAGGCCACAATGCATTCCTTCTAAGTTTGGTAGAAAAATCATAAACTGGGTATTAGAAAATTGACTTCTATTTTCTGCTGTCTGTCTCTGGCTTAGAAACTTCATGAAAATAACACAATAATCCCTACTCATGAATTTTAATTTGTTCTTTTCTCTGCCAAATGAAGGGATGTATGAGAGAGAGACCCACTAGTGTCATCCAGCTGAACCATTCTCTGATTTTCCTTTTCCCATTGCCTGGCTTTTAAATTAAAAACTATAGATGACTTCCTAGCTTAAATAAACTAAAGTAAGTTTAACTTATTATTGTTTTGTAAAAAGAAGATGACTTTGGCTATTTAACAAGAAACGTGTTTTCTGAGTATTGCTTCCAGCACTGGTGATGGATTTATATTGAGCCATGCACTGTTCCTTGTGACTGGCTAGGGTTAAATGTTGAACTTGCACTTATGAATCAAGGGAAATCCTCCACTTAAAGTTCACATTTATGACTTTGACCTCATTAACACTGAACTTTAACCTCTAACCGGCTGAGATAATCAGCCACAAATACTCATCAGTCTAGGATAAAAGAAAGTTCCTTTGTTGTTCAGCCCAGTTGCATTTACCAGATGCATGTATTTGGATAAGCCACTTAAACTCTCAGTTTCCTCAAGTATAAAATGGCTGCTATGATTTCACTTTATAAAATACTTGCAAGTTGCTTTGTTATAACATATTTAAACCATGTAGATGAGATTCCAGTTTTTAGCAAGAGCTCAGTATTTGGTAGTTGAAGGGTAGTAGACATTGAACTGAAAAATTGGGATTGCTATTTAATGTACATAAAACTTAAAATAACAACACAGATCATATTAACATCCAAATGTGGATACAGATATTCCATGTTGGCCACTGGGAGAAATGAACCTAAAGGCAGACTGATGCTACCCTTTTCTCTCCTTGCCTCATAAGTAAGCAAATGCAAACCAGTCAGAGTCAAACAATATGAGAGTAACATGGCCAGGATTCCCAAAATTGTTATTTTAATCCCCCTATGATAGTTCCCAAGTATTAATCTCAATCTGTGAATGTAAAAATAAACTATAATGAAAGGGTCTATATGATAAGAAATTAATTTTTAAACCTGCTTTGAGAGAGGACTTCTTAGCTATGTACCTCTACTTTTCTCCATCTCTTCTTTAGGATACCCATCAAAACAATGGTGTATAAGGAGGATATTAACACAAGAGTATAGTTCGTCCACAAGTAAAAGAAAAAGCAGGATAGACAGTAGGCTCTCCAGGTATATTTAAAGTGTACGCTGGTAGAAGAACTCCTTTGCATGCATGTTGTTTGTTAATTTATAATAAGCATTATCTTCCCGTATTTGCACAAAAATGGAAACTTCTACTTGCACTGTTGACAGAAACTACGGATATAAGCCATCTTCCATCGTTCTGTTTTCTTACTTGGTAGCTGCTATCATCCACCAACTCTAATTTACCAACTACTGTTGGAGGTGAGATGCTTTCTTTTTAAACTTGCAGGTCCTTGAAAGCAAACGTGTTCACTTTTTTGGTCCTCAGGTAGATCCAGGTCTTTCAGAACCTAAGAGTAAGCATGATCTCCACAATGTAACCTTTGGTCAAAACAATGCATGGAGGTGATAAGGTGAGATATTGTGTTCCAAGTATACTAAAGCAATCAAAAACTATTTTAGTTCTTGATCTTGGAAAAATTTCTTCTTCAGCTCAGCACACCAGTGTAAAATCATCTATATCATTCAATTTTTATAAAGCTTAACGTTATAACTATGGATGACATTGTTAAATTGCATATTACAAAAAAGTTTTTGGCTGCTCAAGGTTCTGGGGCTTAGAGGCCATTGGTTGAAGCAGTTATGACTCACCCTTCTTCCCTTATAACATATCCATTTGCATTTGGATCCTGTATATTGCCACAGAAGCTTGTTGAATGAAACAAGAAAGGTCCAAGGATGTAAACCATGTCTTGTGGCTAGGCTTTTCTGATTGATGTCAGTTTTGCAGGAATGGGGTCTATGATATTAAGCACAACCTAGGAGTAAGAGGGTCTGGTCTGGTGCTGATGTGGGAGTGAAGGGTAGCAAAAGAGCTGAACTGGCAGAAGGGGGAGTGCCAGGCTACTTCTGGAATCTACTCGGATTAGTTCACACGTTGGTGTTGTATATCTACAATATATGGGTGTGTATATGGGAAAAATTTTGCATGTACTTACTCTGAAAGAACTGGAGTATTAAAGAGCTGAGACAGGACTCTTTCCCATAGGTCATCCACCCTCTTATATTCATCTTCACCATCACTACTATCCTGGGGCACACTATCATCATCTTTGGTTTATTTGTTATACTGCAGTAACCTCCAAATTGGTCTTCCACTTTCCACTTTTGCCCTGCTATTGTCCATTCCTCATTCAGCTACTAGAATCAGATCACTTTTTTTCTGTCTGAACTTCTTCAATAGTTTTGCTTTTTATATGTAATTAAATTCAAACACCTTTCTATGGCCTACAGGCCCTACATGGTTTGATCTCTGCCTATTTCGTGACCTTATCTTCTACTCTCTTCTTTGCCTATCATGCTCCAGACATGCTGGCTTCCTCTCAGCTCCTTGCACAGGCCATGCTTATTCGTGATCCAGGGCTGGGCTCACTGGCCCCTTTGCTTTCAATGGTCTTTCCACAGGTTTTCACAGGGCTGAGTCTGGCTGAGCTCAAGGGTTACCTTATCATCATTTCCCTGACATCTCCAAAATAGCCTCTCTCCACTTCCAGTTACTTCATTTGCAGCTATCAGAATCTGAAGTTTTCTTATTTATTTGTTTACACATTGACTCTTTTCTCACTAGTATAAGCTCCACGAAGGCTGCGGCTCTAACACTCTTGTTTGTCACTTGATTCATGGTATCTAAACAACGCTAGGCACATAATTGTACTCAACAAACATTTATTAAAGTCGAGTTATCAGAAATAATATTTCCTATTATTGAGAGACTATTAGGGACCAGGTAGAGTTCCAGATGCATAATATACACAGACTTAGTGAATTTTCTTCCAAACCCTGCAGCGTAAACATTACTGTCTCTAAGTAGAAGTTGAGATTCAGAAAGGTAAGTGAGTTACTCTGGTCACAGAGTTGGAAGTGGCAGAGCTGGGTTTTGATTCTCTAAGTGACTCCAAAGATCATGCTTTTTTCCAGGACAGTGTGTGTGTGTGTGTGTGTGTGTGTGTGTGTGTGTGTGTGTATCTCCTCATAAATCAGATATTTATTAATAACTATTAATAGATTTTTTTGTCTTCTAGTTATTACACCGGGTATGAGGAATAACAAGTTTTTGAGCATCAGTGTTCTACAGAATTGTGCTCAGTAAATGCAGAATGACTTACCACCTCTGTAAAATTGATAATAGTCTTGTTTTTAACAGAATCACATAAAGAATGTTTGATATAAAAATATGTACAAAACTCATGGTAGAAAAGTTATAATTCACAGAAAATTAGAATGGTAGAATTAAGTCTTTGACTTATTTAAGCAGATTTTGTGTCTATTATAATTTTTTTATTTAACAAGCAACTATAAAGCTGTTAAACTTCTCTAAGAAAAAGCCTCAAAAAGCAAACCATCCAAAAAATTCTGACTTTTGCTGTTTTCCATATGTGAGGTTATAGAAAACTTCTCATTCTTTTGAATCGTGATAAATGAGCAGTGGAATTAAAATAGCAGCAGAACCTATAATAAATTGATATTTCATACATGCAAATTCCTCTGAGATAGTCTGATTTCTCTGACAAATCTGGCCCCACCACAGTCTTGTTAGGTAGATTGACATAACCTGACAGGGTAAGCAAATCCTCTTCTTTCAAGTTGCAGCTACTGACTGGATTGAGTTATTTGGTTTTGAAAGGAAATTTATCCTCTTGAGCTTCTTATACCATAAAAGACACAAGTTCTTCCATGGAAGCAAGGTCTTCATGGGGATAGCATCTGGAACTCATTGCTGAGCAACCTTTCAGCTTCCCTATATAAACATTGCCTTTCTTCCCTTCATCTTTTTTTTCTGATGTAAAATTTGAAAGATTGGTTAGAAATCTAATTTTGATAATCAAATAATATTTACTGGAGAAATTTGCATCACAAGTTTGTTTCATTCTCATAAAACCTGAAAGATGGAAATAAGTCCCTATCAGAATACCTGTTACTCAGCTGATCTCTGATAATTTCTTTTTTTGAAGCTACCACATGTAGATAGAGATATTTAGAGCACATTTAGAAGACATGCAGGTCAGTCTTTAAGACTGGAGGAAAACGGGAATGTGTTTTTACACTTGAGGTCTGAGCACTTAAAGACTATTGAACTCACAGCAAAATGTCATAGGTTTTTGAGGTAAAGCACATGTACATTTAGTGAAAAGTCAGGTTTTCAACTGCAGTCACTTGAGAAAGAGCAATTATTTCTTGAAATGATGGTGGTCATAAGCAGTTTTATTTTCAGACATAATCTTCTGGTGCTGGGAGATTTCAGTTTCTTTGATAAGGCAATCTGTTATAGATTTTAAATCTGTTTTAGACACACAAACCTGAAGACATTTCTGTTTTCAATAAGATGCAAGACAAGTAGGAAAATGCATGTGTTCAGACACCATTTAACACTTAATACGAACTAAGAAGTATGGTTTCGTGAAAAAAAACTGTACAAATCTTTCACTAGGAACGTTATGGTTATTCTTCTAACCGGGTGGAACAGATGATAATAGGGATAACCCACTGTTGTAAGAGCTTTACATGCATTAATTCATTTTATCCTCAAAACAAGATTGTGAAATATATGTTTTTATCATCCCAATTTTGTGGATGTGGAAACTGAGACACAGAAGTTAAGTAACTTGCACAAGTTCACCCAGATAGCAAGGGGAGAGTTGTTAAGTGTTCCCAGGCAGACTGGCTCTACCACACTTCATATTGTCAGTCGGCAAATTATCAAATGATGATAGGGCAAAGATTTTTGATTCCTAGAATCTCTTTCCAATTCTCCCAGCAAGATTCTTTGTCAAGTTTCTATTTCTGTAGCTTTCATATGATTATAATGTGAACATTAGAGAGTTAAATGAGATAGTTTCTACCTAAAGTTTGGGGATATATTAGAACTGTAAGAATTGGTTTAATAATCTGTTATTTCCCCTCTTATCATTTATTTGTCACTTGTTATCAGTAAGAACATTTATAATGAGTAAAAATCTCAACTTTTAAAAGACCACTGCCTAGGATTCTTACTTTAAAAAATCCATTCTAAAGAAAAATATGAAACAGAAGCAAAGTTACACACTATGTACATTTTAAAAATAATTTATTGACCTATTGTATGAATACCAAAAAAGTATACATAATTATGCAGCTCTTTGAATTTTTACTAACTGAACACAGCCAGGTAAACAATACCCAGATCAAGAAACAAAATATCACCAGTATCCCAGAAGGCTGCCCCATGTCCACCTCCAAGAATAATCACAATCTTGACGTCTAACAGCATTGATTAGTTTCCCCTGTTTTTTTGTCTGGTTTCTTCCATTCAACATTATGTTTGTGATATTTACACATACTGTTATGAGTAGTTCTAGATCAATTATTCTAATTATTGCACAGTATTCTATTGTGTGAATATGTCACAATTTATTAATCCATTCATTTTTGGTTGGCATTTGGATAGTTTCCAGTTTATACAGTGTTGCTATGAACAGTCTAATTTATATCTTTTCGTGAACATATGTATATATTTTCTTTGGATATATACTTAGAAGAATTGCTAGATCACAAAGTAGATGTGTGTGTGTGTGTGTGTGTGTGCGTGCATGTGTGTGTTTAGTTTTAATGGATAGTGCCAAACATTTTCCAAAGTGGCTGAATTAGTTTTTTGCTTCCACCAGCAATTTTTGAGCATGTCAGTTGATTCGCACCCTCACTAAATGCCAAAAATGATATTCTCTATTTTTCATTTTAGCTTTTCTAGTGAGTGCACGGTGTTTTGTCATCATAGTTTTATATGCATCTTCTTCACGACTTAATGATATTTTCGTATGTTTATTGGTCATCTGTCCATCCTCTTTTGTGTAGTGTATGTTAAAATATTATGCCACTTTTCAATTGAATTGTCTCTGTCTGATTGATTTGTAGACTTTCATAGAATCTAGATGGTTGTCCTTTATTAGCTATGTATAGCAAATATTTTTCTCCCATTTCAAATTTTCACTTTTTATTGTCCTAATGGTTGTTTTAGATAAATAGTTCTTAATTTTTATTAAGTATAATTTAACATTTGCAAAAGTGTTTTTGATTTATGCGTTTCAGTGTCGTATTTAAAAGAAAAATTGTGCCTACTCCAAGATTGCAATTTTTTCTCCTATATTTGAATTTAAATGCTTTACTTCTCATTTAGGCCTGCCCTCCATCTAAAATTAATTATTTTTCCATGATATGAGGTAGAGGTCCAGATGCATTATTTTGGCACATACACAGCAATTGCCCCAGAACCATTATTCAAAAGAGCATCCTTTAGCACTCTTTGCATTGTTGTCTTTGTCATAAGTTTACTAACTATATATGTGAACGTTTCTGGACTCTCTACATTTCCCCCCACATATTTGTTATTTATTATTGTGCCAACAACATTGTCATAATTACTAAAGCTTTATAGAAATTTAGGTCTTGATATTTGATATTATAAGTCCTCCAGCTTGGTTCTTTGTCTTCAGATTACCTTGTCTCTTTCTGCCCTTTTGCACTTCTTTTCAAATAAATTTTAAAAATAGCTACTCCATTTATGAAAAAAAGTATAAGCATTTTAATTATGATTGACTTGAATTTATAGATTAATTTTGGGAAGAATTGAAATCTTTATAATATTGAGTCTTCCAACTAATTGATGTGATATGCTTCTCATTTATTTGCTTTTCTTTAATTTTTCTCCATAATATTTGATAGTGTTTAATATAGAGATCTTAGATATCTTCTTAGATTTACTACTGAGTATTAGTTTTTGATGCTATTGTAAATTATGTTTTTAAAATATCTATTTCTGATTCTTGCTAATATTAGACAATTGATATTGTTTATTAATAATTTTCTATTGGCTGGTCATGGTGGCTCATGCTTGTAATCCCAGCACTTTGGGAGGCTGAGGCAGTTGGACCACTTGAGCCCAGGAGTTTGACATCAGCCTGGGCATTATGGCAAAACCCCATCTCTACTAAAAATACAAAAATTGGCCAGGTGTGGTGGTGCGTGCCTGTAGTCCGAGCTGCCTGGGAGGTTGAAGTGGAAGGATCACTTAAGCCTGGGAGTTGGAGGTTTCAGTGAGCCGATCACACCACTGCACTCCAGCCTGGGCAAACAAGTGAAATCCTGTCTGAAAAAAAAATTGTCTATTGGTGTTTTATCCTGCATACTTGATAAACTCATTTATTAGGTTCAGTGGATTTTTGGTGAGATCATAGTATTTTCTACATGGATGGTCATGTGGTCTGTGAATAATGACAGTTTTACTTCCTTTCCAAACTGGATGCTGTTATTTATCTTGCCTTACTGCACTTGCTAGAACTTCCAGTACAAGGTTGAATAGAAGTAGTGAAAGTGGATTTCATTCTTGTTGCTAGGATTAGGAGGGAAAGCATTCAGTCTTTCACCAGTAATTATGTGAGTTATAGGTTTTTCATGGATACCCTTTATTAGGTTGATAAATCTTAAATTCCAACTGTGCCAATAATTTTTTTTTCTTTTTAATCAAGAATATGTTTAGATTTTTCAAATGCTTTCTGTGTATCCATTTACATACTTTATGGTTTTGGGTGTTTCTTTTTTTAGTTTTCTAATGTGGTGAATTATATTGATCAATATAAAATATGAAACAAAATTTGCATTTCTAGGATAATCCCCATTTGGGCATGATGTATTCTTTCTTATATAATGTTTGATTTGCTTTGCTAATATTTTGTTTAGAACTTTTGCATCTATGTTCATGAAACACATGCTTGGTAGTTTTGCTTTCTTACAATGTCTTTTTCAGGTTTGGGTATCAGGATAAGGCTGACCTCATATAATAAGTGAAGTCTTTTCTCTTTCTTTTATTTCTGGAATAATAAAGAATTGGTATAATATTTTCCTCAAATATTTGGTAGAATTTACCAATGAAGCTTTTGGTGCATGGAGGTTTATAAAGTTAATTGATTAATTCGTTAATTTATTGTGTGTAAGATTTTAACTATAATTTTTTTCTTTTTACATCCAGAATATAAACCATATTAAATATTAATATAATTTTCAATTTTAAAAATAGATATAGAACTATTTAGGATGTCTATTTTTTCTCAAGGAGTTTTGGTAACTTGGTATCTTTAAAGGCATTTGTTCATTTCATCTAAATTGTCAAATTTATTTGTATGAACTTGTTCTCAATCATCCCTTACTTTTCTCTTAATAGCTGTAACAATGTTACCTCTCTCATTCCTGGTATTGCCAATTTGTCTTCTCTTTTTTTCCTGTAATCAATCTGGATAGAGATTTATCAATTTTATTGATCTTCCAAAAAACAGCTTCTGTTTTCATTGATTTATATTTTGATATTTATCACTTTCTTTATTCCGTTCACTTCCAGTTTCATTTGATTTCCTTTTTTCATTTTCTTAAGGTGGGCCTTTCTATTTTTTTAATATTGGCATTTAGGGATGCATATTTCCCTCAGCAGTATATCACATATTACCCATAGCAGTATGTCACATATTTTATATATTTTTATTTTTATTCAGTTTAAAATTCTTTCTTATTTCTTTTGATTTTTTAATGACTTGTAGTCTTTTTAGAAGTCTGTTACTTAGTTTCCAAAAATTTGAGGATTTCTAGATATCTTTATTATTTAATTCTAAATTAATTCCATTTAGGTCAAAAAACAAACCTTGTATAACTGGAATTTTAAAAAAGGAATTGAGACTTATTCTGTGGTCCAGAATATGGTATATCTTGGTAAATGTCCCATGATCATTTGAAAATAAATTATATTGGCTGGGAGCGGTGGCTCACGCCTGTAATCCCAGCACTTTGGGAGGCCGAGGCGGGTGGATCACAAGGTCAGAAGATCAAGACCATCCTGGCTAACACCGTGAAACCCCGTCTCTACTAAAAATACAAAAAAAATTAGCCAGGTGTAGTGGCAGGCTCCTGTAGTCCCCAGCTACTCAGGAGGCTGAGGCAGGAGAATGGCGTGAACCTGGGAGGCGGAGCTTGCAGTGAGCTGAGATGCACCACTGCACTCCAGCCTGGGCAACAGAGCGAGACTCCGTCCCGAAAAAAAAAAAAAAAAAAAGAAAAGAAATTATATTTTGCTATTGTTGAGTGGATGGTTTGCAAATGTCAACTTGGTCTTACTGTGGTTTGTTTTTTGTGTTTATTGTATTGTTCACATCTTCTATATTACTGATTTTCTGCCCACTTAATGAGACAAAGGTATTAGAATTTTTTTTACTATAATTGTAGTATCGTCTCTTTCTCCTTACAGTTCTAACAATTTTTGCTTTATATGATTTGAAGTTTATTAGGTGCATAAACTTTTAAGATTGTTATCTGTTTGATGAATTAACTTATTTATCACGAAATGGCCTCCTTTATCCTATGTAATATTTATCTGTTCTGAGACCTACTTTGAATTTTGTCAACTTGGGAGTGTGTATTCATGTTTACGGCATAAAGGGAGTGTGGAGTTATGTAATTAGGCCAGAAAGATAAGCAGTGTTTTAATTTTTTTTGTTTTTTGAATTCCGTTTTTAGTCCTTCATTGGTTTATTAGCTATAACTCTTTGTTATTTTTAGTGGGTGCTTTAGGATTTATAGTGTACATTTTTAACCTATCACAGTTTAACACAGTTTAACATTCAAGGGATATTATAGCCCTTCATAATACTATAAGAATTTTAAAATAGTATACTTCCATTTTTCCTTTTTCAGTTTTTGTGGTGGTGTTGTCAAGCATTTTACTTTTACATATGTCATATACCTCATATTATATTATTATTTTTGCTTAAACAGTTAACTATTGATGATTGTTTTCAATTACAAGAAAAAGCTATTATATATTTACTGATATGATCCTCATTTCCAATGATTTTCATTCCATTGTGTAGATTCACATCTTCATTTGGTACTACTTTCTTTCTGTCTGAAAGGCTTGAATGTTTCTGGAGGCAGTTAGTTCATCCAGTTTTTATATGTCTGACATATTTTCACTTTATTTCAGCAAAAAATGATTTTGCTGGCTATAACATTATAGGTTGACAGTTTTTTCTTCTTTCAGTAATTTAAAGATGTTGCTCCATTGTCTTCACAATTGCATTGTTTCTAATGAGAAATATGCTGTCCACTTTATCTTTCTCTGCATGTAATGTGTCTCTTTTCTTTGGCTGGTTTTAGGACTTTCTCTTGTCAATGATTTTGAGCAATTTGATTACAATGTGTGTCTGTGTAATTTTCTTTTTCTTTCCTTTTTTTGGAGACAGGGTCTTGCTCTGTTGCCCAGGTTGGAGTGGAATGGTGCAATCATGGCTCACTGCAATCTCAACCTCCTGGGCTCAAGTGATCTTCCCATCTCAACTTTCCAAGTAGCTGGGACCACAGGTGTGCACCACCACACCCATGCTTGGTTTATTCTTTTGTATTTTTTGTAGAGACAGGGTTTCGCCATGTTGCCCAGGCTGGTCTTGAACTCCTGGGCTCAAATGATCTGCCTGCCTTGGCCTCCTAAAGTGCTGAGATTACAGGTGTGAACCACCACAGCTGCTCATTTTCTTTATGTTTATGATGTTTGGGGTTCATTAATATTTTTATATCTGTGAGTTTATAGTTATAAAATTTGGAACATTTTCAGCTATTCTTGAAATAGTTTTTTTGTCTTTTTTCTTTCTCCTATTATTTGGGGTCTTCCTTTAAAGATATACTAGGCTACTTTAAGTTGTCTCACAGTTCATAGATATACTATTTATTTGTTCTCTTTTTCCTTTATGTAAAATTTTGGATAGTTTCTATTGCCATGCCTTTAATTTTGCTATTTTTTGTTCTCTACAATGTATAATCTACCATTTATTCTACCCAGCATAGTTTTCATATCACACATTATAGTTTTCATCTCTAAGAGTTTGACTTCTTGTGTTTGTTATATATTTTCTTCATCTCTACGTAGCTTTTGACCATATGAAATAGTTATATTAACAGTTTGAATATCTTTGTCTTCTGTGGCTGACATCAGTATCAGTTCTGGTTTTGATTGATTTTCCCCCCTTATTATTCATTACATTTTTCTCTTTCTTTTTATGTCTAGTAATGGGATGCCAAGCACTGTGGATTTCATGCTGTTAGGTGCTGGATATTTTTATAATCCTAAAAATATTATTGAGACTTGTTCTGGGGTGCTAAGTTACTTAGGAAATAGTTTGATCCTTTGGAGTCTTGGTTTTAAGATTTGTTAGGCAGGACTAGATTCATGTATAAGTTAAGACTAATTGTTCTCTACTCTTAGGTAAGACCATTCTGAGTACTCTACCTGATAACCTCTGAACTGTGAGATTTTTCTGTCTGACTGGTGATGACAGACAATGTTTCTGACCCTGTGTGAGTGGCGAGTTCTGTTCTTTCTTATCTTTTTGAGTAGTTCTTTCCCCAGCTTTGGGTGGTTCCCTAACATGCATGTGCTTAACAATACTCTGCTGAGCCCTATAAAGGGCTCAAGAGTTGTTTTCTGTGCAGTTTTCTCTTCTCTGTTTTTCTGTCCTTCAAGCTCTAGTTACCTTTATTCCCCCAGATCCTCAGCTGCATTGTCTCAGCTCAGGAAATCTGCTGGACTGTCTAAGTTCTCCCTCCCTGTGCCAAGGCCTATAAATTCGCCCTCCCATGGCAGTAAGCTGGGGCAACTGGCTCACTTTGTTTCCTATCTCTCATGGATCACTGTCTTTTGTTGATTGATAGAATGTCTTAAACATCATCGTTTCAAGTATTTGCTGATTTTTTATTGTTTTAGGCGGGCAGGTAAATCCAGTCCCTATTACTCTATTTTGACTGAAAGGAGAAATCCCATTCATAATTTTTCAAATAAATAACTGATATATCACAACTTTCAAATAAAATAATTTACTCTTTGTGAAATTGTTATGATTTTATGAACTGTTTCTTTTTAATCTGTCACATTCTTCATTTACATCAATCAGTCCAAAACTTGCTCATCTTTTGATTTTCATCTCAGATATTGTATCTCTTGTAGCCAGAAGGTTCTTTCTCCTCTGAATTGTCATTACCTTTCTTTTTTTTATTTTTTATTCATTTATTTTTGAGATGGAGTCTTGCTTTGTCCCCCAGGCTGGAGTGCAATGGTGCAATCTCAGCTCACTGCAACCTCTGTCTTCTGGGTTCAAGTGATTCTCCTGCCTCAGCCTCCTGAGTAGCTGGGATTACAGGCACCTGCCACCAGGCCCGGCTAATTTTTGTATTTTTAGTAGAGACGGGGTTTCACCATGTTGGTCAGGCTGGTCTGGAACTCCTGACCTCAGGTGATCAGCCCGCCTCGGCCTCCCAAAGTGCTGGGATCATAGGTGTGAGCCACCACACCCGGCCCAAGTGTCATTACCTTTCTTATACCTTATCTATACTTTATCTATATATTAGTTTCCTCCCTCCTACTAAAGTCTGAATTATTAGAAGGAAGGTTTTGAATTCTTATTTTTTGTATCTGTCACAGTAACATACAGCATGCTTAGTGCATTGTAGTTATATAATTTTCAAGGGAAAAAAGTGATGTCTGTGATGTGAGATAAAATAGGTAGCTGAAACATTAGATAGCTGTGATATTCCCTTCATAAATCTTATGTTTTAATTATTTCAATTTGTTACTTAGATTAAGGAACTGTATTTGTCTCCTAAAATGTGAGTACAACTAATATGTTCCCTATTAGTAAATGACTAAATAGTATATTTTGAAACATTTTATACTAATGGAAAGAGAAAAACATTTAGCTTTAAAACTAAAATGAGGTCCCTGTCTCTGGCCGCCTGACTCTTTTTTATTTTTATTTTTAGATGGAGTTTCACTCTCTTGCCCAGGCTGGAGTGCAGTGGTGTGATCTGGGCTCACTGCAAGCTCTGCCTCCCAGCTTCATGCCATTCTCCTGCCTCAGCCTCCCAAGTAGCTGGGACTACAGGCGCCCGCCACCACGCCTGGCTAACTTTTTGTATTTTTAGTAGAGACGGGGTTTCCCCGTGTTAGCCAGGATGGTCTCGATCTCCTGACCTCATGATCTGTCTGCCTCGGCCTGCCAGAGTGCTGGGATTACAGGTGTGAGCCACCGAGCCCAGCCCTGACTCTTAATTTTTAAATTACTCAATATGTTCCTGTATAAAATCACCTGAAGTCAGTGATCACTATTAACATACCATATGTTCTGCAAGCAGGAAGAAGATTCTGCTGTCAGTAAAAAGGAATCCCTTGGAAATCCTTTGGCCATCAATCATTAATACTACTGGAATTTCATCTTAACCTAAACTTACTTTGCATTTGCCAGTAAATCTACATTATAATAGAATAAACTATACTACAAATAGCATGATACACATATATATCATGTACCAATACACAAATCTGGATTTCTTAGCATTTAGGCCTTTGAGCAAATTTGGAGCAAATAAACATATATTTTCTTGCAATTTCTTCAAATCACTTTATATGATGGTAATATACTGCAATGGTAAATAATTGGAAAGCAGATACTAAACATTATATTTATTAAATGTAAATAATTTGAAGGTAGAAATCAACCTTTATTCTCTTCTTTTACTGATTGAATTTATTTTCTCTCTACATTCTCTTCTTTTACTGATTGAATTTATTTTCTCTCTACTTTTTTCAATGGCAGCAAAAAGAGATGGTGCTTTCAATGTACCTTTTTTTTCTCAGCCAACAAGAACTTGTTGAGTAAAGTGGGAGGATATAGACAAAAAATAAATACTGTACATTGTTTTAAGTATTTAGTATTAAGTTTTAAGTTTTTAAGTTAATTAAGTATTAAGTATTTAGTTTTAAGTTTAAGTATTGTAATGAAGATGTATTCAAGTAACAGGGCAAAACAGGGGAGAAATCCATGACCCAAAAAAGGCTCTGCAAAAGAGATGATTAAGATGAGTCTTCAAGAATAAATAGGGCATTATTAAAGGATCAGCTCAGGAATAATTTAGGCAGAGCAAATAATCTAAGCCAAATGAAAGCTGAGAAGCATAATACTTCTTGGTGCTCTATGAGAATTGCCAGCAATTTGGTATGGCTAAGGCATGGAGCAGAGGAGAAAGGAAAAGAATAGAGGTGGGAGAAAGGGGTGTAAAATAGGAAGGGAAGCTGAAAGAGGTGAGATTAGAGAAACAGGCAGGGGCTGGGGAGTGAAGGCCTTGAAGTTTACTTACAAAGAGGTTTAGTTAAGCAGGATATCTCAACTGGAGAATGCTGCTCACATCTTGGGCAGGACAATTCTTACTTGTTCTGGCCTTTCCAAGCATTGCAGGGCAGGATAGGCTTTCTTCTGTTCACCCACAAAGTGTTAGTCATGCTGACCAGCCATTGGGACAACCAGAAAAGGCCCTCCAGGCAGTATTTCCAAAGCCCTTGGAGTGATACCATCCCTGCTTCAGAACCACTGAAGGATAGAGATCTGATAGGTGTTAAACAGGGCAGGGTTGTGACTAGACCTGTGTTCACTTTTTCTTTATTCCCTTCTTTCTTCTCTTATTTTTGAATACTTACCGTGAAAGAATTTACAGGGAGTGAGAGTATGCCTTAAGCATAGTATATATAACTATGGGAGCTGTTCCTTCTGTTTCTTTTAAAACAATGAAGGTTGTACATACATATTTCTCTCCAGTGCTGGGGTAACTTTTATGAATAGAAGTAATTTATATCACTGAAGTGAATTTTCAGAAGCGTTAGAAGGATTATTATACAACTGACACATGATTACTGAGGACAAATTAGAAAACATAAATAAACTAATCTGAAGCAAATAAATATCCAACCATATTTCTTCAACCTGGGATAAGCAGTTAACATTATGCTGTATTCTTTCTGTTTTAAACCTATTGTAAACATGTTTTACATATTTAAACCTATATGTAAACATGTTTCCAGTCAATAAATACCCACACTGTATGTTTAGGCAGACATTATTATAGTTCGTGACATGAACACACTTTACTACAATTTATTCAACCACTATTTGACTTTAGCATTATACTAATTTTCCATTATAAACAATTTTATTATGGGATAAACCTCAAATACATTTGTCTAATTATTTTCTTATCTGAAATGAGTCAGATGGTCTTCTCATTTTAAGCTTTTAAGAATACATATTTTCAAATTTTCTTCCAGAAAGTTTTTTCACAAATTAGCAATATCAAAGAGTGGCCACTTTGCTGAGATCTTTGGAAAATACTGTTTTCATGTAAAAATCTCTTTTAAAATTTCTTTGCAATTGGAAAAGAAAAAACTAACAAGACCCTCAAATGCCATTATTATGTGCATTTATTTGACTATTTGTGGAGTTGGATTTTTTTATGTTTCATATGCTTATGAATCATTTCTATTTCATCTTCTATAGATTGTCTCTTTATGCCTTTTGAGCATTTTTAAATTACAGTGATCATCTTTTTATAGATGGTATAAATATTAAGTCTTCGCCATATATAAACTTTGTCATTTGAACTTTCAATATTGTTTATGGTGTTTGTTTAGACATTCTAAAAACTCATAAATGATGAGCATAATCAACATTTAATTTTTTTTGTTTTCTTTTAGAAACAGCTTATATAATCCAAGGTTAAATTTTTATTTATAATTGTTTTAGTAATTTTTTTTGTTTTACATTTTGATTTTTCATCTATATGTAATTAATTTTCCTTTAGGTTATATAACTTTGTACTTTCCCAAATGTTTGGCTATTATCTTACTATTAGTTATTTTTTCTCTTTTCTTAAATTACAATTCCAATATTATACCTTTTACAATTAATAATGTTTAATATTATCATATTACCAGGTCCAAATTTGCCTTAATTGTCTCATAAATGTTAGTTTGTTTGAATCGGGAGACAAATTGCATCCACATGTTGGATTGGTTCAGGTTTCTGAAATTTCTTTTAATCTATAGATTCCTCCTCCATCTCTTCTCTTCTCCTTGTAATTCATTCGTTTAGGAAATTGAATCATTTGTCCTATAGTTTCCATAGCCTGGATTTTGCTGATTGCATCCCTGTAGTATTAGTTCACATATCCACTGGACTGTGTTTTCTTGTAAATTAGAAGTTCTTTTTTTTATTATTATACTTTAAGCTCTAGGGTACATGTGCACAAACGTGCAGGTCTGTTACATATGTATACATGTGCCATGTTGGTGTGCTGCACCCATTAACTCACCATTTACATTAGGTCTATCTCCTAATGCTATCCCTCACTCCCTCCCCCCATGCCACGACAGGCCCCGGTGTGTGATGCTCCCCATCCTGTGTCCAAGTGTTCTCATTGTTCAGTTCCCACCTATGAGTGAGAACATGCGGTGTTTGGTTTTCTGTCCTTGAGATAGTTTGCTGAGAATGATGGTTTCCAGCTTCATCCATGTCCCTACAAAGGACATGAACTCTTCCTTTTTTTATGGCTGCATAGTATTCCATGGTGTATATGCGCCACATTTTCTTTTTTTTTTTTCCCCATGGTATATATTTGTTTTAATAGACTATTTAAAATGACTTAACATTGAGTAAAGTTGATAATCTAGGAAGATAAGCATATTCGTCTTATGAAATTGCTAGGTTTGGCTACCATTTCTTTTTCTTTTTTTAATTTTATTATTATTATACTTTAAGTTTTAGGGTACATGTGCACAACGTGCAGGTTTGTTACATATGTATACATGTGCCATGTTGGTGTGCTGCACCCATTAACTCGTCATTTAGCATTAGGTATATCTCCTAATGCTATCCGTCCCCCCTCCCCCCAGCCCACAATAGTCCCCGGTGTGTGATGTTCCCCTTCCTGTGTCCATGTGTTCTCATTGTTCAATTCCCACCTATGAGTGAGAACATGCGGTGTTTGGTTTTTTGTCCTTGCGATAGTTTGCTGAGAATGATGGTTTCCAGTTTCATCCATGTCCCTACAAAGGACATGAACTCATCATTTTTTATGGCTGCATAGTATTCCATGGTGTATATGTGCCACATTTTCTTAATCCAGTCTATCATTGTTGGACATTTAGGTTGGTTCCAAGTCTTTGCTATTGTGAATAGTGCCTCTATAAACATACGTGTGCATGTGTCTTTATAGCAGCATGATTTATAATCCTTTGGGTATATACCCAGTAATGGGATGGCTGGGTCAAATGGTATTTCTAGTTCTAGATCCCTGAGGAATTGCCACACTGATTTCTAGAATGGTTGAACTAGTTTACAGTCCCACCAACAGTGTAAAAGTGTTCCTATTTCTCCACATCCTCTCCAGCACCTGTTGTTTCCTGATTTTAATGATCGCCATTCTAACTGGTGTGAGATGATATCTCATTGTGGTTTTGATTTGCATTTCTCTGATGGCCAGTGATGATGAGCATTTTTTCCTGTGTCTGTTGGCTGGGAGCTGTAGACTGGAGCTGTTCCTATTCGGCCATCTTGGAACTGCCTCAAGTCGATGATGAGCATTTTTTCATGTGTCTGTTGGCTGCATAAATGTCTTCTTTTGAGAAGTGGCTGTTCATATCCTTCACCCACTTTTTGATGGGGTTGTTTGATTTTTTTCTTGTAAACTTGTTTTAGTTCTTTGGAGATTCTCGATATTAGCCCTTTGTCAGATGGGTAGATTGCAAACATTTTCTCCCATTCTGTAGGTTGCCTGTTCACTCTGATGGTAGTTTGTTTTGTTGTGCAGAAGCTCTTTAGTTTAATCAGATCCCATTTGTTTATTTTGGCTTTTGTTGCCATTGCTTTCGGTGTTTCAGACATGAAGTCCTTGCCCACGCCTATGTCCTGAATGGTATTGCCTAGGTTTTCTTCTAGGGTTTTTATGGTTTTAGGTCTAATATTTAAGTCTTTAATCCATCTTGAATTAATTTTTGTATAAGGTGTAAGGAAGAGATCCAGTTTCAGCTTTCTACATATGGCTAGCCAGTTTTCCCAGCACCATTTATTAAATAGGGAATCCTTTCCCCATTTCTTGTTTTTGTCAGGTTTTATCAAAGATCAGATGTTTGTAGATGTGTGGTATTATTTCTGAGGGCTCTCTTCTGTTCCATTTCTCTATATCTCTGTTTTGGTACCAGTACCATGCTGTTTTGGTTACTGTAGCCTTGTAGTATAGTTTGAAGTCAGGTAGTGTGATGCCTCCAGCTTTGTTCTTTTTGCGTAGTATTGTCTTGGCAATGTGGGCTCTTTTTTGGTTCCATATGAACTTTAAAGTAGTTTTTTCCAATTCTGTGAAGAAAGTCATTGGTAGCTTGATGGGGATGGCATTGAATCTGTAAATTACCTTGGGCAGTATGGCCATTTTCACGATATTGATTCTTCCTATCCATGAGCGTGGAATGTTCTTCCATTTGTTTGTGTCTTCTTTATTTCATTGAGCAGTGGTTTGTAGTTCTCCTTGAAGAGGTCCTTCACATCTCTTGTAAGTTGGATTCCTAGGTATTTTATTCTCTTTGAAGCAATTGTGAATGGGAGTTCACTCATGATTTGACTCTCTGTCTGTTATTGGTGTATAGGAATGCTTGTGATTTTTGCACATTGATTTTGTATCCTGAGACTTTGCTGAAGTTGCTTATCAGCTTAAGGAGATTTGGGGCTGAGACGGTGGGGTTTTCTAAGTATAGAATCATGTCATCCGCAAACAGGGACAATTTGACTTCCTCTTTTCCTAATTGAATAACTTTTATTTCTTTGTCCTGCCTGATTGCCCTGGCCAGAACTTCCAACACTATGTTGAATAAGAGTGGTGAGAGAGGGCATTCCTGTCTTGTGCCAGTTTTCAAAGGGAATGCTTCCAGTTTTTGCCCATTCAGTATGATATTGGCTGTGGGTTTGTCATAAATAGCTCATATTATTTTGAGATACATTCCATCGATACTTACTTTATTAAGAGTTTTTAGCATGAAGGGGTGTGGAATTTTGTCAAAGGCCTTTTCTGCATCTATTGAGATAATCATGTCGTTTTTGTCTTTAGTTCTGTTTATATGATGGATTACATTTATTGACTTACGTATGTTGAACCAGCCTTGCATCCCAGAGATGAAGCTGACTGGATCGTGGTGGATAAGCTTTTTGATGTGCTGCTGGATTAGGTTTTTCAGTATTTTATTGAGGATTTTTGCGTTGATGTTCATCAGGGATATTGGCCTAAAATTTTCTTTTTTTATTGTGTCTCTGACAGGTTTTGGTATCAGGATGATGCTGGCCTCATAAAATGAGTTAGGGAGGAGTCCCTCTTTTTCTATTGATTGGAATAGTTTCAGAAGGAATGGTAACATCTCCTCCTTGTACCTCTGGTAGAATTCGGCTGTCAATCCTTCTGGTCCTGGACTTTTTGGTTGGTAGGCTATTAATTACTGACTCAATTTCAGAACCTGTTATTTCTCTATTCAGGGATTCAACTTCTTCCTGGTTTAGTCTTGGGAGGGTGGATGTGTCCAGGAATTTATCCATTTCTTCTAGATTTTCTAGTTTATTTGCGTAGAGGTGTTTATTGTATCCTCTGATGGTAGTTTGTATTTCTGAGGGATCAGTAGTGATAACCCCTTTATCATTTTTGCATCTATTTGATTCTTCTCTCTTTTCTTCTTTATTAGTCTTGCTAGCGGTCTATCTACTTTGTTGATCTTTTCAAAAAACCAGCTCCTGGATTCATTAATTTTTTGAAGGGTTTTTTGTGTCTATATCTCCGTCAGTTCTGCTCTGATCTTAGTTACTTCTTGTCTTCTGCTAGTGTCTGAATGTGTTTGCTCTTGCTTTTCTAGTTCTTTTAATTGTGATGTTAGGGTGTCAATTTTAGATCTTTCCTGCATTCTCTTGTGGGCATTTTGTGCTATAAATTTCCCTCTACACACTGCTTTAAATGTGTCCCAGAGATTCTGGTACCTTGTGTTTTTTTCTCATTGGTTTCAAAGAACATCTTTATTTCTGTCTTCATTTAGTTATGTACCCAATAGTCTTTCAACAATAGGTTGTTCGGTTTCTATGTAGTTGAGCAGTTTTGAGTGAGTTTCTTAATCCTGAGTTCTAGTTTGATTGCACTGTGGTCTGAGAGACAGTTTGTTATAATTTCTGTTCTTTTACATTTGCTGAGGAGTGCTTTACTTCCAACTATGTGGTCAGTCTTGGAATAGGTGTGGTGTGGTGCTGAAAAGAATGTATATTCTGTTGATGTGGGGTGGAGAGTTCTGTAGATGTCTATTAGGACTGCTTGGTGCAGAGCTGAGTTCAATTCCTGGATATCCTTGTTAACTTTCTGTCTCATTGATCTGTCTAATGTTGACAGTGGGGTGTTAAAGTCTCCCATTATTATTGTGTGGGAGTCTGAGTCTCTTTGTAGGTCTCTAAGGACTTGCTTTATGAATCTGGATGCTCCTGTATTGGGTGTGTATATATTTAAGATAGCTTTTCTTCTTGAATTGATCCCTTTGCTGTTACGTAATAGCCTTCTTTGTCTCTTTTGATCTTTCTTGGTTTAAAGTCTGTTTTATCAGAGACTAGGATTGCAACTCCACTATTTTTGTTTTCCATTTGCTTGGTAGATCTTCCTCCATCCATTTATTTTGAGCCTATTTGTGTCTCTGCACGTAAGATGGGGCTCCTGAACACAGCACACTAATGGTCCTTTAATCTTTATCCAATTTGCCAGGCTGTGTCTTTTACTTGGAGCATTTAGCCCATTTACATTTAAGGTTAATGTTGTTATGTGTGAATTTGATCCTGTCATTATGATGTTAGCTGGTTATTTTGCTCATTAGTTGATGCAGTTTCTTCCTAGCATCAATGGTCTTTACAATTTGACATGTTTTTGCAGTGGCTGGTACTGGCTGTTCCTTTCCATGTTCAGTGCTTCCTTCAGGAGCTCTTGTAAGGCAGGCCTGGTGGTGACAAAATCTCTCAGCATTTGCTTGTCTGTAAAGGATTTTATTTCTCCTTCACTTATGAAGCTTAGTTTGGCTGGATATGAAATTCTGGTTGAAAATTCTTTTCTTTAAGAATGTTGAATATTGGCCCCCACTCTCTTCTGGCTTGTAGAGTTTCTGCCGAGAGATCCACTGTTAGTCTGATGGGCTTCCCTTTGTGGGTAACCCAACCTCTCTCTCTGGCTGCCCTTAACATTTTTTCCTTCATTTCAACTTTGGTGAATCTGACAATTATGTCTTGGAGTTGCTCTTCTCGAGGAGTATCTTTGTGGCGTTCTCTGTATTTCCTGAATTTGAATATTGGCCTGCCTTGCTAGGTTGGGGAAGTTCTCCTGGATAACATCCTGAAGAGTGTTTTCCAGCTTGGTTCCATTCTCCCTGTCATTTTCAGGTACACCAATCAGACGTAGATTTGGTCTTTTTACATAGTTCCATATTTCTTGGAGGCTTTGTTCATTTCTTTTTACTTTTTTTTCTTTAAACTTGTCACTTTGTTTCATTCACTTGATCTTCAATCACTGATACCCTTTCTTCTAGTTGATCAAATTGGCTACTGAAGCTTTTATATGTGTCATGTAGTTCTCGTGCCATGGTTTTCAGCTCCATCAGCTTATTTAAGGACTTCTCTACACTGGTTGTTCTAGTTAGCCATTTGTCTAATCTTTTTTCAAGATTTTTAGCTTCTTTGCGATGGGTTCGAACATCCTCCTTTAGCTCAGGGAAGTTTGATCGTCTGAAGCCTTCTTCTCTCAACTTGTCATAGTCATTCTTCATCCAGCTTTGTTCCATTGCTGGGAAGGAGCTGCATTCCTTTGGAGGAGAAGAGGTGCTTGGATTTTTAGAATGTTCAGCTTTTCTGCTCTGGTTTCTCCCCATCTTTGTGGTTTTATCTACCTTTGGTCTTTGATGATGGTGATGTAAAGATGGGGTTTTGGTGTGGATGTCCTTTCTGTTTGTTAGTTTTCCTTTTAACAGTCAGGACCTTCAGCTGCAGGTCTGTTGGAGTTTGCTGGAGGTCCACTCCAGACCCTGTATGCCTGGGTATCACCAGCGGAGGCTGCAGAACAGCAAATATTGCAGAACAGCAATAGTTGCTGCCTGATCGTTCCTCTGGAAGCTTTGTCTCAGAGGGGCACCATGGTGTGTGAGGTGTCAGTTGGCCCCTACTGGGAGGTGCGTCCCAGTTAGGCTACTCGGGGGTCAGGGACCTACTTGAGGAGGCAGTCTGTCTGTTCTCAGATCTCAAACTCCGTGCTGGGAGAACCACTACTCTCTTCAAAGCTATCAGACAGGGACACTTAAGGCTGCAGAAGTTTCTGCTGCCTTTTGTTCAGCTATGCCCTGCCCCCAGAGGTGGAGTCTACAGAGACAGGTAGGCCTCCTTGAGCTGTGGTGGGATCCACCCAGTTCCAGCTTCCCGGCCACTTAGTTTGCTTACTCAAGCCTCAGCAATGGCAGACGCCCCTCCCCTAGCCTCGCTGCTGCCTTGCAGTTCGATCTCAGACTGCTGTGCTAGCAATGAGCGAGGGTCTGTGGGTGTGGGACGCTCCAAGCCAGGTGTGGGATATAATCTCCTGGTGTGCAGTTTGCTAAGACCATTGGAAAAGCGCAGTATTAGGGTGGGAGTGACCTGATTTTCCAGGTGCCGTGTGTCACAGTTTCCCTTGGCTAGGAAAGGGAATTCCCTGACCCCTTGTGCTTCCCCAGGGATGTGATGCCTCGTCCTGCTTCATCTCTCACTCGGTGGGCTGCACCCATTTTCTGACAAGCCCCAGTGAGATGAACCTGGTACCTCAGTTGGAAATGCAGAAATCTCCCATCTTCTGCATTGCTCATGCTGGGAGCTGTAGACTGGAGCTGCTCCTATTTGGCCATCCTACTGTTAGTTATTAATCTTTTACATACTAATTGCAAATCCTACCTTTGTCAATTCAATTGTTATATAAATAATTGAACCAGTTTTGGGATTTTTTAACTTGGTCAATTTTTAAATTTTAATTTTTAATACACAATATTGGTATATAAGAAAGAGTTGTATGTGTTTATTTTATAGCTTGCCACCATGTTGAACTCTACCATTAATTTTTTTTAAGTTTTAAAATAGATTCCTTTGAAATTACTGGGTAAAAAATTTCATTATTTAGAATTTTGTTACCTTCTATTTTCTTTCTTCTTCTTCTTCTTTTTCTTTTTTCTTTTTTTTATGGAATTTCACTCTTGTTGCCCTGGCTGGAAGGCAATGGCACAATTTTGGCTCACCACAACCTCCGCCTCCTGGGTTCAAGTGATTCTCCTGCCTCAGCCTCCTGAGTAGCTGGGATTACAGGTACACACCACAAGACCTAGCTAATTTTGTATTTTTTAGTGGAGACGGGGTTTCACCATGTTGACCAGGCTAGTCTCGAGCTCCTGACCTCAGATGATCCACCCACCTCAGCCTCCTGCAGTGCTGGGATTACAGGTGTGAGCAACACACCCAGTCTATTTTCTTTAACTAATTTATTTTCTTTAACTAATTATTAATTGTATTGGCTAGAACATCTAAAACAATATTAAATAATAATAATTTACAATCCTTATCTTGTTATAAACTTTAATGGTAAGTTTCTAGTATTTTGCAAGTAATGATGACTGTCTGAAACAGTTATTTATGGCAAAGACATGGGTCACCCTAAATGTTCATCAATGATAGACTGGATAAAGAAAAGGTAGTACATATACACCAAGGAATACTATGCAGCCATAAAAAAGAACAAGATCATATTCTTTGCAGGGACATAATTGGAGTTGGAGGCCATTATTCTTAGAAAACTAACACAAGAACAGAAAACCAAATGCTACATTTCTCACTTATAAGTGGGAGCTAAATGATGAGAACACATGGACACAGAGGGGAACAACACATATTGGGGCCCTTTGGAGGGTGGGAGGAGAGGGAGATGATCAAGATAAATACCTAAGAGGCACTACTAGGCTTAATACCTGGGTGATGAAAAAATCTGTACAACAAACCCCCATGATACAAGTTTACCTATGTAACAAACCTGCACTTGTACTTATAATGGAAAATTGGTATAATGCTAAATTTTAACTTAAAAGTTAAAACAGAAATGAAAAACTAGGAAAGAAAACTTTCAGTTGTTTAAGAAAACATTTATTATGTTAAAGAAGTAGATATTTCTTCTTGTTTTACCAAAAATTTTATTTTAGTCAACAATATTTCACCAAATGTCCTTTCAGTTTCTATCAGGGTAAGATCTCCTCTGTTCTATTAATAGCTTTTAAAATAGTGAACTATCTTTATAGGCACTTTTTTAGACCAACTATTTTAGACATAGTGTAGATATTGGGGCATATGATTTACTAATATTAATTTAATATTTTATACCTATAAATAACTAAGCTAACATTCTACTTTTCTTTTTGTGATTTATCTTTGGGTTTGGTATTAGGTCCTAATAGCTTGGAGTTACAGAATAGCTCGATGTTCCCTTGAATAGTTATAAATAGCCTTTTCAACTTCCTAACCTTCTAGTATATTTTAATTAAATTAAACACATTTACAATCAGGTCCTTAGAAAGAGAAAGAAGGTACTTTGTTTGTTTTAGACTTAAAGTAAAACAATAAAGTGAAACCACATAGTCCACTTCCCTCTTCTCTCAGCTGTGGTCTACAGATAGGAGACTCACAATTTTTCCCAGAATGGATGTAACAGGTGTGATATAAATGACCTCTTTTAGACTCTGACTTAAAATGTCTACACTATCTTTGTTGAATGGTATGTTAAAAGAACATATTTACTATGTGAAGGCTAGACTTGTCAATATAATGCTCACTTTTTGTTTCCAAGGGGTAATTAACAATGAAAATATTTGGTTAAAAAATTAAATCCCCAAATGTATAACTTACCTTACTTTTTTTTAAAACTTGAACTGCCTAGACAACAGCTATAAGTACTTTAAATATCCTGCAAAATTTTATAGTCTCGATACAGTATATTTGGAAGTTGAATTTCTTTTCTAAGTTGTTGAAAGAGTTTAAGTATTATTGGAATCCCATTTCAGGAAGAATAATAAAATTTACCTCTAAAGCTATCTGGACCATAAAGATTGTTTTCTTTGTATTTGTTCAACTGCTAGCAATTTGCTATATCTTCCAATGAAGTCCTGTGTACACTTAACTTTTAGAAATTCCTCAAAATATTTGACTTATTGATGATTTTCTTCTCCCTTTTCTATCATTAAGATATATATTTTTTCTATTTTTTATTTTAAATATTTCAGTGGGGTGTTGTGAGAAAGCAAATGCAAACTGATGCGTAGGAAAAGATGTCTTTATGAGTTGATTAGAGGGGGGAGAAAAAAATCATGGTGGTACTTCTCCTGCCTAACACAGGATCTAAATTGGATTGTTTTTGTAATGCTCTTCCAGACACATGCACATAACAATATCAGTGAACTCTCAATTTTCATGCCGGCAGTAGCATTTGATGGTGAGTACTTTAGCATATGTTTTCTTGATTAATTCAATACCTGGTGTTAATAGTAAAGAGCTTGATCCTGGAGAAACAGACTCCAGGGAATCTGTTATGAGAGACTTGGATATTTCGTTTATAGGGCAATGAGATATGACTTTCCTTCTTCACAATTTTGCTTAGAGGTAGTCCATTACACTTCAAGAAAGATTAAGGGAGGTTGTTTCAAGGGACCAGGAAAATCAATGCTAAGTGATTTCAAAATCAGACAGATGTGGGCTCAAATACTATTTTCACTCTGTTTTTGTTGTGTAAACTTGGGCAAAATAAACCTAGCCTGGAGTCAGGGAGATCTGCCTCCTATGAAGACAGACATTCTTCTTATCTTCCTGCGGGTACACTGATGGCTCCAGAGCAAAAGGACTGATTGTTTGTTTCAGCATCTTGATGTTTGATTGTTGTTGATGTTTCATCATCTTGAGAGTTTGCAGCTTTACAATTTGTTGTAAGGGCATCACAACTGAGCAGCATGTTTCTTGGTGGAATGGTCTTGAGAAGCATGGAAGGCACTGCTCCATGAGATGAGAAGCCATGACCAGACAGCCACAGTTCCACTTTAAGCTGTCATGTGCTGTCAGTGTAGTCCCACTCATCCCCTTCTCTGGAAACTATACTCTTTCACCCACCTGGCCACCAGGACATTCGAGGGTCACATGACTTGCCACCCTTGCCACAGTGGGCTGGCACAGAGGTGGGCAATCAGCTCAAGCTAGGACTGTTAGGAGTAGCAAATCCATATGGGTCTACAGCAACCTCCATTTTTGCCTTGTCAGAAGAAAGCATTCAACCAAGGGGCATAAGGCAGAGTGAGAAACTGAGGCAAGTTTTACAGCAGGAATGAAAGTTTATTGAAAAGTTTTAGGTCAGGAATGAAAGGAAGTAAAGTACAATTGGAAGAGGGCGAAGTGAGCTGCTTAAGAGATTCAAGTACCTGGTTTGACTGTTGACTTGGGATTTGATATGTTGGCATTCCACACCTGCAGTGGCCTGCTAGCACTTGGGAGGGGCTGCATATGCAGTGTGTTTAAGTTGTACGTATGCTCACTTGAGGCGTTTTTCCCTTACCAGTCGAGTGTTCCTAGAGAAAGGTCATATACCAGTTAAACTCCGCCATTTTGCATCTTAGTGTGGATGCTTGAGCCTGCTTGCCCGACTCCTGAAATCTTATCAGGAAGCTGCTGATCATCAGTTTCAGGTTTTCTATCTATTGAGAGTCTGCCTTTCCCTGGCACCAGCTGTGACCAATTATTACTTTAGAGCGACAGTTAACAACCACCTGACCATTATCTGATGGCTGCCTGACATTCCTGGTGTGTGGGGAACGCTCTCCTGCCCTGCTTTTGTCTAACTACCTACTGTAACAGGACTATCAGTCCCATTCAAATTGAGACCAAGAAATAGTTGCAGTTTCTCTCCAGGTAGCTAGATCTGTGTCATGTAAACTTCAAAGTCCTGTCACTGAGTTGGACCAGCAGAAGAAGCTGAGAGAGAGAGACAGAGAGAGAGAAGGGGGAGGGAGAGGAAGAGGGGAAAGGTAGAAGAGGGAGATGGAGGGAAGGGGAGAGAATTATGCATCAAGGAGCAGATATGAAAGACAGAGGGAGCTTCCTGATGACACTCGAATCTCTGGTTCCAGTCTTTTCTGAGGCAAGGGTGCCTTTCTGCCCTTAGTTTCTACAGGTCATCTCCTAGTCATTATAACAAATGTCTTTTTCTTGGCTTAAGCTGAAATAATTGCTTTCTGTTACTTACAAGCAACAAATATAAGCACGCATGATACACCCTGAGGGATATGCAGGATGTTTGGAGCAGGAGTCTTCTCTGTAGGGGGTTGAGGCACATCAGCTCTATAGTATTGGGGAATTAATGTTAATGTGACTCATTTGTGCCCCTAGGCTGGTGGGGTCTAGGGACATCTAGGTTACATATTTTAAGTAATATAAAAGCCAGAAACAGTCTTTGTTGCAAAATCCACATTGTCTGTAATGTAAAAACATATTAATTGCTTAAACGCTTTCACTGTACTTGAGACCAGAAAGAAACTTCTCCCAGGAGCCTTCATAGAGAAAACTCTGTGTAATGTACTGGAAAGAAACACAATACCAAACAATCATACTTTTTAGTATATTTGTTCTCGCATGCAGTTCCCAGCTTTACATGAGCTCTTAGTAAGATCAAAGTAAATAAAGATTTCCCTCTACTGGGTCCAGGCATTACCTCAGAATAAAAAATAATAAAAAACTAGGCCATAGAAATAAAACTTCTCAGGGAATTTACTGAACCTTGTGTTCTTAAGAGTCATTAGTCAGGTTGGTAACAACAACAAAAAGCTTTGAATCAGAATTTTCCCTCACAGGAAGAGAGCACACATGATTACAATAAGCAAGATCAGGCCACTCAGAATGAACACTCACCTAAGATAACTGGAAAAGGGCGGACATGATTTCTACCAGAGCAAATGATTTCTCTTGAGAATATGGACAAAATTTTGCCTGGTGTTTGTAGATTTGTCCACAAATGGTAAAAAGATTTGCTATTTAAATGCTTAATTTTTCATAAAATATTTTTAATAGAAAAATCACAACCAACCACGTGAGTTATTATTCTACTTTATTCTTTTAAATTTAACCTCTCTTTTTCTCTCTTGTTCACTTGCTTTTTCTAGCTATCAATCATAAAAATAATAAATGGTAGTGAATAAAATTTAAATTCTTCAGAAGAGTATAAGTTGACAGCTAAAAGTCCTCCAACTCATCTTTATTTCCACTTAATAGAGCAAAGCACAGCTCATAATTTCTTCTTTTATCAAATTTAATGTGCTTACTAGCGTGTGTGATTAATATGTATGCAAAAGTTACCCATAATATGATTAGTGAATAAATATTGCAGAGCAATATATATTATATACCCATTTTTATTTTTTTATTTATTTTTTTCCATTTTTAAAAATTTTTTATTTATTATTATTATACTTTAAGTTTTAGGGTACATGTGCACAATGTGCAGGTTACATATGTATACATGTGCCATGCTGGTGCGCTACACCCACTAACTCGTCATCTAGCATTAGGTATATCTCCCAATGCTAACCCTCCCCTCTCCCCCCAACCCACAACAGTCCCCAGAGTGTGATGTTCCCCTTCCTGTGTCCATGTGTTCTCATTGTTCAATTCCCACCTATGAGTGAGAATATGCGGTGTTTGGTTTTTTGTTCTTGCGATAGTTTACTGAGAATGATGATTTCCAATTTCATCCATGTCCCTACAAAGGACATGAACTCATCATTTTTTATGGCTGCATAGTATTCCATGGTGTATATGTGCCACATTTTCTTAATCCAGTCTATCATTGTTGGACATTTGGGTTGGTTCCAAGTCTTTGCTATTGTGAATAATGCCGCAATAAACATATGTGTGCATGTGTCTTTATAGCAGCATGATTTATAGTCCTTTGGGTATATACCCAGTAATGGGATGGCTGGGTCAAATGGTATTTCTAGTTCTAGATCCCTGAGGAATCGCCACACTGACTTCCAGAATGGTTGAACTAGCTTACAGTCCCAACAGTGTAAAAGTGTTCCTATTTCTCCACATCCTCTCCAGCACCTGTTGTTTCCTGACTTTTGAATGATTGCCATTCTAACTGGTGTGATATGGTATCTCATTGTGATTTTGATTTGCATTTCTCTGATGGCCAGTGATGGTGAGCATTTTTTCATGTGTTTTTTGGCTGCATAAATGTCTTCTTTTGAGAAGTGTCTGTTCATGTCCTTTGCCCACTTTTTGATGGGGTTGTTTGTTTTTTTCTTGTAAAGTTGTTTGAGTTCATTGTAGATTCTGGATATTAGCCCTTTGTCAGATGAGTAGGTTGCGAAAATTTTCTCCCATTTTGTGGGTTGCCTGTTGACTCTGATGGTAGTTTCTTTTGCTGTGCAGGAGCTCTTTAGTTTAATTAGATCCCATTTGTCAATTTTGGCTTTTGTTGCCATTGCTTTTGGCGTTTTAGACATGAAGTCCTTGCCCACGCCTATGTCCTGAATGGTAATGCCTAGGTTTTCTTCTAGGGTTTTTATGGTTTTAGTTCTAACATTTAAGTCTTTAATCCATCTTGAATTAATTTTTGTATAAGGTGTAAGGAAGGGATCCAGTTTCAGCTTTCTACATATAGCTAGCCAATTTTCCCAGCACCATTTATTAAATAGGGAATCCTTTCCCCATTGCTTGTTTTTCTCAGGTTTGTCAAAGATCAGATAGTTGTAGATATGCGGTGTTATTTCTAAGGGCTCTGTTCTGTTCCATTGATCCATATATCTGTTTTGGTACCAGTACCATGCTGTTTTGGTTACTGTAGCCTTGTAGTATAGTTTGAAGTCAGGTAGTGTGATGCCTCCAACTTTGTTCTTTTGGCTTAGGATTGACTTGGTGATGCGGGCTCTTTTTTGGTTCCATATGAACTTTAAAGTAGTTTTTTCCAATTCTGTGAAGAAAGGCATTGGTAGCTTGATGGGGATGGCATTGAATCTATAAATTACCTTGAGCAGTATGGCCATTTTCACGATATTGATTCTTCCTACCCATGAGCATGGAATGTTCTTCCATTTGTTTGTATCCTCTTTTATTTCCTTGAGCAGTGGTTTGTAGTTCTCCTTGAAGAGGTCCTTCACATCCCTTGTAAGTTGGATTCCTAGGTATTTTATTCTCTTTGAAGCAATTGTGAATGGGAGTTCACTCATGATTTGGCTCTCTGTTTGTCTGCTGTTGGCATATAAGAATGCTTGTGATTTTTGTACATTGATTTTATATCCTGAGACTTTGCTGAAGTTTCTTATCAGCTTAAGGGGATTTTGGGCTGAGACAATTGGGTTTTCTAGATATACAATCATGTCATCTGCAAACAGGGACAATTTGACTTCCTCTCTTCCTAATTGAATACCCTTTATTTCTTTCTCCTGCCTAATTGCCCTGGCCAGAACTTCCAACACTATGTTGAATAGGAGTGGTGAGAGAGGGCATCCCTGTCTTGTGCCAGTTTTCAAAGGGAATGCTTCCAGTTTTTGCCCATTCAGTATGATATTGGCTGTGGGTTTGTCATAGATAGCCATTATTATTTTGAAATACGTCCCATCAATACCTAATTTATTGAGAGTTTTTAGCATGAAGGTTGTTGAATTTTGTCAAAGGCCTTTTCTGCATCTATTGAGATAATCATGTGGTTTTTGTCTTTGGTTCTGTTTATATGCTGGATTACATTTATTGATTTGCGTATATTGAACCAGCCTTGCATCCCAGAGATGAAGCCCACTTGATCATGGTGGATAAGCTTTTTGATGTGCTGCTGGATTCGGTTTGCCAGTATTTTATTGAGGATTTTTGCATGAATGTTCATCAAGGATATTGGTCTAAAATTCTCTTTTTTGGTTGTGTCTCTGCCCGGCTTTGGTATCAGGATGATGCTGGCCTCATAAAATGAGTTAGGGAGGATTCCCTCTTTTTATATTTATTGGAATAGTTTCAGAAGGAATGGTACCAGTTCCTCCTTGTACCTCTGGTAGAATTCGGCTGTGAATCCATCTGGTCCTGGACTCTTTTTGGTTGGTAAGCTATTGATTATTGCCACAATTTCACATCCTGTTATTAGTCTATTCAGATATTCAACTTCTTCCTGGTTTAGTCTTGGGAGAGTGTATGTGTCGAGGAATTTATCCATTTCTTCTAGATTTTCTAGTTTATTTGCATAGAGGTGTTTGTAGTATTCTCTGATGGTAGTTTGTGTTTCTGTGGGATCAGTGGTATATCCCCTTTATCATTTTTTATTGCATCAATTTGATTCTTCTCTCTTTTTTTCTTTATTAGTCTTGCTAGCGGTCTATCAATTTTGTTGATCCTTTCAAAAAACCAGCTCCTGGATTCAGTAATTTTTTGAAAGGTTTTTTGTGTCTCTATTTCCTTCAGTTCTGCTCTGATTTTAGTTTTTTCTTGCCTTCTGCTAGCTTTTGAATGTGTTTGCTCTTGCTTTTCTAGTTCTTTTAATTGTGATGTTAGGGTGTCAATTTTGGATCTTTCCTGCTTTCTCTTGTGGGCATGTAGTGCTATAAATTTCCCTCTACACACTGCTTTGAATGTGTCCCAGAGATTCTTGTGTGTTGTGTCTTTGTTCTCGTTGGTTTCAAAGAACATCTTTATTTCTACCTTCATTTCGTTATGTACCCAGTAGTCACTCAGGAGCAGGTTGTACAGTTTCCAAGTAGTTGAGCGGTTTTGAGTGAGATTCTTAATCCTGAGTTCTAGTTTGATTGCACTGTGGTCTGAGAGATAGTTTGTTATAATTTCTGTTCTTTTACATTTGCTGAGGAGAGCTTTACTTCCAACTATGTGGTCAATTTTGGAATAGGTGTGGTGTGGTGCTGAAAAAAATGTATATTCTGTTGATTTGGGGTGGAGAGTTCTGTGGATGTCTATTAGGTCCGCTTGGTGCAGAGCTGAGTTCAATTCCTGGGTATCCTTGTTGACTTTCTGTCTTGTTGATCTGTCTAATGTTGACAGTGGGGTGTTAAAGTCTCCCATTATTAATGTGTGGGAGTCTAAGTCTCTTTGTAGGTCACTCAGGACTTGCTTTATGAATCTGGGTGCTCCTGTATTGGGTGCATATATATTTAGGATAGTCATCTCTTCTTGTTGAATTGATCCTTTTACCATTATGTAATGGCCTTCTTTGTCTCTTTTGATCTTTGTTGGTTTATAGTCTGTTTTATCAGAGACTAGGATTGCAACCCCTGCCTTTTTTTGTTTTCCATTTGCTTGGTAGATCTTCCTCCATCCCTTTATTTTGAGCCTATGTGTGTCTCTGCACGTGAGATGGGTTTCCTGAATACAGCACACTGTCGGGTCTTGACTCTTTATCCAATTTGCCAGTCTGTGTCTTTTAATTGGAGCATTTAGTCCATTTACATTTAAAGTTAATATTGTTATGTGTGAATTTGATCCTGTCATTATGATGTTAGCTGGTTATTTTGCTCATTAGTTGATGCAGTTTCTTCCTAGTCTCAATGGTCTTTACATTTTGGCATGATTTTGCAGCGGCTGGTACCGGTTGTTCCTTTCCATGTTTAGCACTTCCTTCAGGAGCTCTTTTAGGGCAGGCCTGGTGGTGACAAAATCTCTCAGCATTTGCTTATCTGTAAAGTATTTTATTTCTCCTTCACTTATGAAGCTTAGTTTGGCTGGATATGAAATTCTGGGTTGAAAATTCTTTTCTTTAAGAATGTTGAATATTGGCCCCCACTCTCTTCTGGCTTGTAGAGTTTCTGCCGAGAGATCAGCTGTTAGTCTGATGGGCTTCCCTTTGAGGGTAACCCGACCTTTCTCTCTGGCTGCCCTTAACATTTTTTCCTTCATTTCAACTTTGGTGAATCTGACAATTATGTGTCTTGGAGTTGCTCTTCTTGAGGAGTATGTTTGTGGCGTTCTCTGTATTTCCTGAATCTGAATGTTGGCCTGCCTTGATAGATTGGGGAAGTTCTCCTGGATAATATCCTGCAGAGTGTTTTCCAACTTGGTTCCATTCTCCCCGTCACTTTCAGGTACTAATCAGACGTAGATTTGGTCTTTTCACATAGTCCCATATTTCTTGGAGGCCTTGCTCATTTCTTTTTATTCTTTTTTCTCTAAACTTCCCTTCTCGCTTCATTTCATTCATTTCATCTTCCATCACTGATACCCTTTCTTCCAGTTGATCGCATTGGCTCCTGAGGCTTCTGCATTCTTCACGTAGTTCTCGAGCCTTGGTTTTCAGCTCCATCAGCTCCTTTAAGCACTTCTCTGTATTATTTATTCTAGTTATACATTCTTCTAAATTTTTTTCAAAGTTTTCAACTTCTTTGCCTTTGGTTTGAATGTCCTCCCGTAGCTCGGAGTAATTTGATCATCTGAAGCCTTCTTCTCTCAGCTTGTCAAAGTCATTCTCCATCCAGCTTTGTTCCGTTACTGGTGAGGAACTGCGTTCCTTTGGAGGAGGAGAGGTGCTCTGCTTTTTAGAGTTTCCAGTTTTTCTGCTCTGTTTTTTCCCCATCTTTGTGGTTTTCTCTACTTTTGGTCTTTGATGATGGTGATGTACAGATGGGTTTTTGGTGTGGATGTCCTTTCTGTTTGTTAGTTTTCCTTCTAACAGACAGGACCCTCAGCTGTAGGTCTGTTGGAGTACCCGGCTGTGTGAGGTGTCAGTCTGCCCCTGCTGGGGGGTGCCTCCCAGTTAGGCTGCTCGGGGCACAGGGGTCAGGGACCCACTTGAGGAGGCAGTCTGCCCATTCTCAGATCTCCAGCTGTGTGCTGGGAGACCACTGCTCTCTTCAAAGCTGTCAGACAGGGACACTTAAGTCTGCAGTGGTTACTGCTTTTTGTTTGTCTGTGCCCTGCCCCCCAGAGGTGGAGCCTACAGAGGCAGGCAGGCCTCCTTGAGCTGAGGTGGGCTCCACCCAGTTCGAGCTTCCAGGCTGCTTTGTTTACCTAAGCAAGCCTGGGCAATGGCGGGCGCCCCTCCCCCAGCCTCGCTGCCGCCTTGCAGTTTGATCTCAGACTGCTGTGCTAGCAATCAGCGAGACTCCGTGGGCGTAGGACCCTCGGAGCCGGGTGCCGGACACAATCTCCTGGTGCGCTGTTTTTTAAGCCCTTTGGTAAAGCGCAGTATTTGGGTGGGAGTGACTCGATCTTCCAGGTGCTGTCTGTCATCCCTTTCTTTGACTAGGAAAGGGAACTCCCTGACCCCCTGCGCTTCCGAATGAGGCAATGCCTCGCCCTGCTTCGGCTGGCGCATGGTGCGCACACCCACTGACCTGCGCCCACTGTCTGGCACTCCCTGGTGAGATGAACCCGGTACCTCAGATGGAAATGCAGAAATCACCCATCTTCTGCGTCGCTCACGCTGGGAGCTGTAGACCGGAGCTGTTCCTATTTGGCCATCTTGGCTCCTCTCCCATATACCCATTTTTATAACAATAGTAACTTGATAATATATATGTAAAATAAATTTGAAAAAATAAGACGCCATATGGTTAACTGTGCTTGTCTCTCTGGGCTACTGTTACCAAGGACTCTCATCTAGTTCTATTGTGTTTGAATATCACAACATGCATGTATTATATATTTTTGAAAAGATAGGAACAAAAAGTAAAATTCATTGTCAATTTGGGAAAAAACGTAGGACAAACCATGCTCACTTTTTTCAAAATGTGTTTTGTAACTTTCACTGATTTGCTTCTCATGAGTCTCTACTTTCTAACTTGCTTCTTTGTGACTCTTAATTCACCACCGTAATAATCCTCTCAATCATCTCATAAAGATAAATAATGTTTGCCATTTGATATCCGTTCATTAAATATCTGCTAATGTCTTGACAGATGAAGACATAAAGAAATTAACTGTCAGAATTATGCTTTATGATAATCAAACTTTAGCCCTGATCTTTTAGGATACATGGTATCTATAAGTCACATCTTAATAGTAGCACTCCTGCACACTCCTCTTTATTTCAGAAAAATAATGAGGTATGTAAACACTTGTAAAGGACAAGATCATTTCCAAAGTAGTTAGCTCTTACAACTTATCCATCACAGGGAATCTCTCATTTTGTAGCAGAGATTTTGACACCCATGAATGTGAAGCCTGCACCACCCTCAAAGGAGGAAGAAGTTAAATGTCTCCTCCTTAGGAAGTGAAGCTCATAATTTTCTCCTTGAATATAGGCCTTAGGCAAGTTCTTTCAGACCCTGCATTTCCTTTAAGGAAACAGTGAAAGGCCAACAAATTGGCAATCCCAAAATTAAAATTAGTGCTCTCACAAGTAGACCCTGTCCTCCCATTGTTCCAAATAGTTCAGTGTAACAGCTAAATAGCAGTTTTAGCATCTACATCATGTTATTTAGGGTTCAACCGTAATTCCCTTCCTAATTTCAATTACCATAATAATTCTCTGGTAGAATAACTTTCTAAAAGTCAAAAATCAAAGCAGTTTCTACTGAGAGCTCCCAGGTCTGGCTAATTGCACAAATCAACATTGACCTCACTGGTCTATCTGGTTTTATATGTACTCACAGTCTTGTGTGGCTCTTTTCCGATTCCAAATAAAGGAATGAATCATATCTGGGATCTGGCGAGTAATCAACAATGACAAAGTTATTTTGTGGAAGGTTCTCTCCCTCTTCTTCAAAATGAAACCCAAGTGGTTACTGAAGAGGAAATAAAGTCTTGCAGTTCTTGTATCTTCCAGTATATTTTGATAAGGAATGACAAGAGTCTACATAGTTTACATTTTTTGGTATGCACAGAATATTCTTTATTTTAGAGCACAGGTATCTTTTCCTAACTTCTGTCCGGCTGCCAAGTGATCACATTCACGTCTTTGTGTTTTGTGTAGTCTCTCCGCCTCTAGAGCAAGTGGTATTTTATTTTATGAAAAGATAATCCTAGCAGCCTTTCACTTAAACAACGGCATACATCCTAGTTTTAACTTAAAGGACACTTTTTAGGAAACGCCCTCATGATCTGAATGCTTTGTTGGCTTGGAGCACCGTTAGGATCTTCCTTGAGCAACTCCTGTCAGAGACTGTACCAAGAGTGGTCTCTAATCACTAACCTGGATAATTTTGACCTTCTTTGTTTTATGACGCTATATTTCAATTTTGGGTCAGACAGAAAGATGCCACTTGAAGTAACTCCATCCACGAATCAGTTGGAGCACACGATAGCATTATTTCTGAATCTGGCAACAAAAGGGGTGATGAAGCCAGCTGTAGGCTGATTCAGGCAGCAGAGAACATCTGGGAGTATGTGCGTTCATTATAATACTGGGTGGAATAACATGGCATCCTGGTGGTCAGATTATACATCATGAGATCTGTAAAGTCTGGAGGAGAAATGTGATGTGTCTCTTACCTATGAAGATGGTCATAAGACACCTCTCCATTATCTCCATGAGGTTGTGGAATGTCACAGATTGAATTGTGTCCCCCAAAATTTGTATGTTGACAAATTGTTCAGGTTAAGAATGCCAGGAACTAGATTAGTTGTTGCTTTACTGAAGAGGAAATAAGTCTTAGTAAGGATCACGTTCTTAACCTGATCCTAGTGTGTATTTGCAGATAGAGCTTTTGAAGAGTGATAAAACTTAAATGAGGTCATAAGGGTGGGAACTTAATCCAATATGAGAACAGGGAGAGATGGCACAGATGCACGTGCACAAAGCAAAGGCTATGTGAGGGCACAGGGGGAAGACAGTCACCTGCAAGCCATAAGGAGAGACTGCAGGAGAAACCAATCCTGAGAAAAACCTAGATCTTAGATGTTCAGCCTCCAGAACTGTAAAGAAATTAATTTTGGTTGTTTTTGTCACCCAGCCTGTAACATTGAGTTACGGTAGCCCTAGCTGAGTAATACATGAACCAAAGCTATTTCCTTAGTTGGCAAGGACCACTTCCAATAGCAAAGTGCAGGAGGAGTGTGCCATCCAGACATTTAAAATGGTAGTGGTCACAGGAGGTATCTGAAAACACCTTGTGTCATACCATATCTCCATATCTACAATGGGGAAAGAAGAAAACTTGCAGTTCATTACAAGATTTCTTGGGGCAAATGTTGAAAATACTTAAAGTAGAACAAGATGTTACAGAACGATGTTTGTTCCCATATGTGATTCATAATTATTCAAAATGTATGTTGCTAAGTCTCTATATTACTGTAAGGGCACAGCTAATGGGACTCTCTAGAATATTAGCAGTTACTTTGTATATCACAAGTTTTTGTTAGTGTGTTACAGACTAGGAATAACACTGAAATAAATGCCATAATCTGGCAATAAAGCCCGAGGGAAGTAAACCTATCTTTGACACACTGCGTTTTAAAAAACTAAGTTAGTGTAGCAAATTTAAGCAAAGGCAGGGATAAAGCCCCCCTTCTGTGAATTGCAGTGTGTTATTACTAGAAAACCTAGATTCTGGGTGTAGACCTGACCCAGAGATTTCCCTTCAGTAAACCAGGCTTGCATGATAACATCCGTACAATTATTATACTTTTACTGCACTGACGGCTCTTTCCATATTTTTATGATAAAACAATGTAGTAGGCCAGGCGTGGTGGCTCACACCTGTAATCCTAGCACTTTGGGAGGCCGAGGCAGGTGGATCACCTGAGTTCAGGAGTTCGAGACCAGCCTGACCAACATGGTGAAACCCCCATCTCTACTAAAAATACAAAAACTAGCCAGTAGTGGTGGTGCACGCCTGTAATCCCAGCTACTCAGGAGGCTGAGGCAGGAGAATCTCTTGAACCCAGGAGGCGGAGGTTGCAATGAGCCAAGGTCACTCCACTACTGCACCCCAGCCTGGGCAACAGAGTGAGACTCTGTCTCAAAAAAAAAAAAAAAAGACAGAAAAACAAAACAAACAAACAAAAAACCAATATTGTTTGGAGCCAGTATTTTTATCAGTTCTTATTGCTTAAAAGTGCCCTGCATGACAAATCACTGAAAGCAACAACTAATCTAGTTCCTGGCGTTCTTAACCTGAACAATTTTTAATTTTATCATTATTATTATTATTATTTTTACAATCAGTTATAAGCACATGCAGAATGTGATCAAGAACTAGTTGATTCTGTCTATGGCTTTTACTTAGTCGTGGCTTAAATGCTAACTTGGTTCCATCTTTTAAGAGAGACCCACAATATTTTCCATCATTATTCTCATGCAGAAAACAAGTTTTAAGCACCTTCTGCTCTCCATTGTCCTTCAGAAAAGACATTGCTTTGAAGGGACTTCCACAGCAGTTTTTTTCTAGAACAAGTGAGCATCGAAAGGATGAGAGGTAAAGAACAGGGCACAATACTTCTCATAAAGAGCCACTTCTGCAAAACAACTGTGATCAACAAGCGGTTTCTGAGCTCCTGTATCCAATGGATGTTTCTGTGTTGAGGCCATCTGGTAAAAACCCAGAGAGTCTACAGACTCAGTGCTGGGAGTGTTGACTGGTGGAATCCCAGGCTCTTTGTTGGGTGGCTCTGGATCTAACCCCTACTATTTGCAAGTGTCCTATACATATATGTAATGGTAATAACACTTTATATCTTTATGTATCTTATTGTTTTCATTATTTCCCACCTCCAGGGGTTTTCATCTGTCTATTGGGACTGACCTTAAGCTACATATCCCAGAGTTTTGTCTGGTCTTCTAATTGACTTCAACTTCTTTTTTTTCTAGTAAAAAAAAAATTAGAGGCAGGATTTCACTATGTTACCCAGGCTGGTCTTGAGCTCCTGGCCTCAAGCAGTCCCCCTGTCTCAGTGTCCCAAAGTGTTGAGATTACAGGTATGAGCCACCATTCCCATCTAAGTCCGCTTAAATCTGCAGAGACTTACCCTGAGTTCTCACTCTTCAGATCTTTTATTACTCTCAGGAAAGGTGAAACATTAAATTCCCAAGACTGCCATACTGATGTAAGCCTTAAAACCAGGCCACAGAGTGATACTTTTTTGTCCAATATAATATTGAGGCAGTGGGAATTATCAGACATCTTAAAATCAGACTTCACTCACCATGAACATACCAATTCTGGTTGTCTACAGATGGTTATTAAGAATTTTTAAGTTTTAAAAAAATCTAAGTTAATATTACTCATTCAAGGGGGTCTGATCTCTAAAAATAATTTTAAAATCCTGTGTTTTGAATTCAATGACAAACTAAAATTAAGAGAAGCTTATCTGGGTATTCTGAATGTTTATGGCTGAACAATACCTTAGGATTTTAGTGCTTCCAACTATTTCATTGGAACCAAAAAATGCCATGTTACTGTCATGTGCTAGTTAGAAAAGGAAGAAAAGATAATTTAGAAATAATGGCTTTGCACTAAGTAAACACCAAATCACATAGTTAGGTATCACTTCAAATTGAATCTTCAAAAGCCCACAGAGGTGGGGCATGTAAGCTCTCTGTCTTGTGAGAGGTAACATCATTTCCTCAAATATCATCTGTCACATAATCCGTTAATTTTGATTTTTAAAATCATTTCTGTAATTTTGTTTAAATTTATTTATAAATCTGTTTTGATTTATAGTTGTGTCAGAACTGTGAGAAAACAGAGATTGCAACTAATTTCTTTTTATATCTGTACACTTTGGCATTATAATAAATATTGTAGTTAATATTAATAGTTGGTGAAACTAAGTCTAATAGGGAGACCAGAGATTAAGTTTTTACAATTGATAATAGAAGTCACAGGAAATACTCCCTTCAGTGAAAGTATTTAACACATTCTTCTCATCTTCTGGAAGTGATGGATGACAGTACCAGAACTTCAAGAAGCAGAGGTAATTCTGTGAAAAACAATCAATTAGCGGGGTCAAATTATGCCATCAATCACTTATATATAGATAGCTCCATTAACATTTATAATCTGATAAAAGTTTTGGCTCTCCAGCTAGTCCCCATAAATTATATCTGCAACACCCCAAATTTGTATAGTGTTCAGCCTCAATTTAAAGCAATTTGAAATTAAATTGGCAAGGGTGTGGTGGGTGAAAATTGAACAGCAAAGCAGTATGGACCCCAGGGTAAAGTTAAATTTGAGGCCGGGCGCGGTGGCTCACGCCTGGAATCCCAGCACTTTGGGAGCTTGAGGCGGACAGATCACGAATTCAGGAGATCAAGACCATCCTGGCTAACATGGTGAAACCCCATCTCTACTAAAAATACAATAACAACAACAAAAAATTAGCCACGCGTGGTGGCGGACACCTGTAGTCCCAGTTATTTGGGAGGCTGAAGCAGGAGAATGGCCTGAACCTGGGAGGTGGAGCTTGCAGTGAGCTGAGATCGTGCCACTGCACTCCAGCCTGGGCGACAGAGCAAGACTCCGTCTCAAAAAAAAAAAAAAAAATATATATATATATATATATATATATTTGAACCAGAGCCTGTTTATCTACCGTCTAGCCCTATTGACGTCTAAAAGCTTGCCAATCACACTTTGGGTTTTGGTTTTGTTTTTAAGAAATGAAACACTTCAGATACTGTCAAAGGCAGCACTGTACCCTAATGACTATTGTGATTCTGGTGCATCTCTTTTCCATTCCTTTTCTTACGATATTAAATTATATGTGTATTCGTGTATAATACATAGCTTTGTTTTACAGATTTTCAAAATTTACGTAAATGGTATTATATTGTATAACTGTGTTGTTGATTATGGCTACAACAATGCTATCTAGCAAACTACCCCAAAACTAGGTGATTCACAATAAGCATTTTTTCCCAAACTCATGAGGTTGCAAGTCAGCTAAAGTTTGGTTAATCAGATGGGCTCAGACAGGTAGCTGTGCAGAGTAGGCTGTGGGTCTTCTGGGTGTGGCTGTGTTCATGTCTGTTCCATATGTGTTTGTTCTGGGTTTGGGATGAAGAGGTAGAGGCTACCTGGGCCTTGCTCATCTCACAGAAGATCACCTGAATATAAGAGGATAGGAAGAAAGACGCCATGTCTCTGAGGTCTCCCTTGAAACTGACACATGGTCACTTCTGCCCACTTTTCACGAACCAAAGCCAATGATACAGCTAAACCTAGTTTCAGCGGGGCAAGGATATGTAATCCACAATTCTAGAGGAAGTTACTACAAAGCCACATGGCAAAAAGAACAGGGCATACAAAAAAAGTTAAAAAATAATTCAATATATCATAATATCATTTTGCAACTTGATTTTTCCCAAACACTAGATTTAGAAGGCCATCTATTTCAATACATGTTTTTCTTCATGTGTCCTTAATTGCTATATGGAATTCCATGGTATTAACACAGCAGTCATCCTTCAGGTCTTAGTTCAGACGTATCCTCAGGAAAGACCTTTCTGATAACTTTCCTGACAACTTCCCCTAACACACTCTTACTCTGTATAAGTCAGTTCCCCTAATGTGGCATTCTTAAAGCAAGAAGTACTTTTCTTTATAATGCTTTATATTATTTTTAATTGTGTATTATTTTAATTATTTGGTTAATTTCTTTCTTCCCCACTGGACTACAAGCCAAAGGAAGTGATAATGTTTATTTTGCTCACTAGTGTGTCCTCAGTGCCTAGCACAAAAGAGATCGAAACATGCTTGATGAATGAAGAATGTTCCTATGCAAACATTTCCAACCGCATAATTTTAGTAGAATTACTGTATCTAACTGTATGCACTGGTGAAACTTGTAGGAGGCAGGATTTCAGAATCAAAACCCCTGCCAGAGAAAGCAGGAAACTGGAGGTTGGTGCACACAGGGTATCTGACTTGGGAGCTGTAGTAATGCCGGAGTCCTTGCAGCCAGTGGCAGTCACTGCTCTTCTGTTCTCTGTCAATAAAGAATTAAATATGCATGTTTATGGGGCTCAGGGTTATTTTTCTTTGAGAGAGTTAATTGATGGAAGGTTAAATAAAGCCACAAGTTTTTACTTAAAGGAAACAGAGAAAAATGAAGAATTACTTTAATTATAAGCAGCGTGTCAAAAGAAATGTTTTCCAAATTAATCTTTTCTGGGAGTGAAACAACTCTTACTATAATTCATCTTAACTCCTCTGAAAAAACAGAGTTGGGGGAAATCCTACCCAATCCTTCTCTTGTACACACACACCCACACCCACACAGTGTGTTCAAGTCAACTCCCACTTAGATTGCAATAAACGACATGAACGAATTATAGACATTAAAGCTTTTCTTTCCAAGGTTTTTGCTTTCAAAATATTTGTTTTTGCTTTTCAAAAAAGGTTTGCTTTTCAAAATATTTGTTTTCCCATGTTTGGTGTGAGAACCACCCTTTTCTTATTAAAGAAGAGGCTCATTCTAGAGAGTGACTGCAAAAGCCTCCCTCCCACCATCACCACCTGATACCCCACATCCTAAGGGTCAAAGGTCAGATATGTTACACAACGAATTGTGTCTTTTAAAGGGAGCACGACTGAAATATTTCTGGATAGAAAAGGCAGAACATTCTTAGAATATCTTGACTGTTAACATTTGTTCCTAATCTATCAAAATTCTCTTACTCATGTTTGCAGAGTTGCTGAGTATTTTCTGAAGCCTTTTCAGAGTTGGAAATCAGTCAAATCCTAGTAGTAGCTAGGATTTAAAGGGATGGAGGAGGTGTCCTGTTGATGTCTCTTTTTCCTTCAACATCAACAAGAAAACCCAAGGTCTTTTTTTCTTAGAGGTTAGTGGGTTATTTTCCCCTTGGCCTTCCTAATGGAAATATGTGTTGAAGGGGGAGGGTGATAGAAAAATAGGAGAGAGAAGGGGATATTTGGGGAGACGAAGGCATGACTCTAAGATTGAGGAAAGACTGAGGATGGTAAATGTAGGGTAAGTGTCAGGATTTAAGTAGCATCCTCCGACTAACTGCCATGAGCTCTGTATGGTGACATCGTTGCCGTCCTGCAATCGGAAACCCCAAGAAAAGCAAAAGGAAAGAAAGTAAGAAGAAAGAGTGGGTGAAAAATTTGAGGTGTCCCATACAATAAGCTTTCGTGGCCAAGAGGCAAAATCTTTGAGGGTTTTGCAGTTGCTTTCAGACTGGCCATGGCTTTGTTGTTGTTGTTTGTTTGTTTCTAACTTTACATACTTAGATTCTCTGGAGGTTCAAGAAGAGAGTTCACCATGTGTTGGCCTTGCCTGGTGTGATTTATAGTAATCAGTAACCCTCTGCAGCATTTAACGACACTTGGACAAAGCATACTCAAAGAATACAGGACGGGCTGGGCACAGCTCATGCTATAATCCCAGCACTTTAGGAGGCTGAGGCAGGAGAGTCACTTGAGGCCAGGAGTTTGAGACCAGCCTGGGCAACATGGTGAGACCGAATCGCCACAGAAAATTTAAAAATTAGCTGGGCATGGTGGTGTGCACCTGTAGACCCAGCTACTTGGGTAGCTGAGGTGGGAGGATCACTTGAGTCTAGGAGTTCCAAGCTGCAGTGAGCCAAGGTCACACCATTGCACTCTAGCCTGGGTGACAGAGCAAGACCCTGTCTCTAAAAAAAAAAAAAAAGAGAGAGAGAGAGAATACAGGATAACATCATGAAAACTTCCTAAAATACTGAGGAGTTGTCCAAGGAATGTTAGGTCTATAAGCAGTAGCAGAGTAGAATTGCAGCCAACAGAGTAACTGAGGGTGAGTGGTAAATCTAAAGCTGGCTGTAAGGAGGCAGCAGGGAATAAAATGCCAAAAGCAGCAGATCCTCTATTTGTATCTCTATTCGTATCTCAGCTGAGGAGGGCGACCAGATGCATGAAAACAACTGACCAAGAGCCTGGAAAGAGAACATTAGGTTGTTTCTTCCTCCCCACATGCAAGGGAAATGGTCATAGTCTTAGAAATAGATTGGAATAGATATTCTCTGCTCACCATCTACCACCCCATAATACCGGCACTGAGCATCTGTTTTGGTGATTTGCTAAGGGTCAATTAAGCTTTAGAAGCTCTTAGCATAAAAATATGATGAGTCCTCCACGTTAGTGATCAGAATAAGACCTAAAGAGTGAAGCACAACTTGCAGGAATGCTGAAATCAAAATTGCTTTTTTCTAGATGTTTTGATTGCTAAAACCTGTGTGATTTCACGAAGCTTAACTTTGCTCATTGGCATGGGGTTGGTGGCTCAGCTTTGCTAGTGTCTGTGCCCAAGCTGAGTCGGCCTGCTGGTTTATCTACCGTGGACGTGTCCAGATCCAGAAGCTGGAAATGGCAGATGGAGAGGGGACAGCACTCATAAGGCTTGCACAGGTTCACTGTGGAAAGACTTTCTGAATCCATTTCCCTCCGAAGGGGCCACAGATCCTAGGCCTCAGCACCCCTAGGCAGGCGGTAGCCCTCCTTCTCACCAGGGGCTGCTGCATTGGAGCCGTGGAAGTGCCCTGGTGGTCACTTTGCAGTTTAACTTCCAGGCTGCACAGTAACACCACTGGAGGGAAAATGTCTGTGTTTGAAGTAATCATAGGCTTTCTCCTCTAATACCAGCCTGCCCTGCCAACGTGCCAGCAGCACAAAGGGCCCCACTATTTATCCTCCATCACAGAGTAAGTGGCCTATCCCCCCGCCGCTTGGCTCCAAGCTCCCTGTCTGGACAGGACACAGCTGGGCTTTCATCTAAGGAGGGGAGAACTCCAGCTGATTACTTTTGTTTGGCCTTCACTGAAGACAACAGAGCAGGAGGTACTTTTGCATTTTGTCTTGTGGTGAAAGTCCCAATGTGGGGTAACTCAAGAAGATTTTCTCCTCAAGCAAAGGCTAACTCGTGGGGAAGAATCACAATTTTTTAAAAATGACCATTAAGAAGATCAGCCAGAATTTTATGCAGAAAACATGTATTACTTGCATCATCAGAAAAATAAAACTGCATTAACTTAAAGAGGAAAAAAGAGGAAATTATCTGAATATTTTAAGCAATTATCTTAAGGATAAATTGGGTTTTCTCCTCACTCTCTCAATGGCAGTCTCCTATAACCTAATGGCCCCAACTTTCACCTGTAAACTGGAGTTCCCAAAATTTATATCCTCACACCCATCTTTCATATAAGCCTCCAACTTACATATACCCAACTGACTACTTGGCATCTCACTTTATGTATATCACAACCTCTTCACATTTAACACCTCAAATACTGAAATTCTTTCTTCTTTCATGATCTTCCCCCAATTTTTACCTCCTTCTAGATTCTTTCCTTCTAGATTCTTGCTTTTACCTCCTTCTAGATTCCTTCCATACAATCAATTATCATTCCCATTGTTCAAGTTACCCTATGTCTCCTCTTTTCCTTCTTCCTTTATCCTATCAATTTATCTTATTATAACAGCTAACTTTTACTGAGCATAAATTCTGTGCCAGATATTATTCTAATTGCTTTATACGTACTATTACATTTAATCCTCACAACTCCAATAAATAAGTGCTATTATAACCCCCACTTTACAGATAAAGAAACAGAAGTACAGAGATGTTTTATAATTCTCTATATAATGTCATAAAAATAGGCTAGTAGGAGATCAATGATTTGGATCCAGGCTGATTTGCTCCAGAGCCTAGGCTCTTAACCTCAATGCTATACTGCTTTCTAAAATTATTGTGTATTTATATAAATTTAAATGTGTGCATTTTCATCCCATAGATACTACCTAAAGTTCTGACCATGATGTAGGTAGATAATTCATCCTTCAGAATTAAGTTTCTAATGCACAAATGTTTTCTTGTCACCATCCACTTAATTTCAACGGATCATTTTCTGAATTTGTCATTTTCAGAGGCGTATTGCTACATTTGGGGCAATGCGTACATATGTGGTTTCGTTAGCTCCAGCGGGGGCTAATCCTCTGACAGAGCCACCTCTCACACGAAACACTGAATGGAGGCGATCCCGAGATGGATGGAGCAGCAGCAGCGCAGGTTGCTGCAGGTAAGCGAAGCCACTCAGAGAAGTGCCAGGCTGGGTTCAGGAAAGCATGTGTCCATGAAACATGAGGGAATATTTCCTTCTTCACATGATCAGGGCAGGATGCAGTTGTGCTCAAACCATGACTGAAAAAATTCTGCAGTAATTAGAGATGCAAGTTTATTCTACTGCACCACCAGAAATTCCAGTCTGCAAAAGCATGTAAGAAACTCACAGATATCGGAAAGATGGGTCTGGAGGACAAAGTTCAAACTATTGCCATGTCAACAACACCATTTTTCCATTCTCTGATGTCATCTACCTTCCCTTCACCTCATGCTCTGCTCTAGCTCTAAAGGCTTTGTGCTCAGAGCACACTTTCCTCTTTCATGCCTCCTTATCTAAATATTCCACTCCTTCTGCCTAGGATACCCTTTCATATCTTGTCTTTTTGGAAAGTCTGTCTTTTTTTTTAAATTAGGGTTAAGTTCAAAGATCATGTTCATCTCTCATGCCACCCCTACCCTTTGCACTGGATAGATAAGCTGCTCTTCTTCATTATCCTGTATTCCTACACTTGCCTAAAGCACATCCCAGCGTGGTGTGGAATATGTAATACTGTACTTAATAGTTCATTCTTCTGTCTCCCTCTCCAGACTTACGAGCTCCTTAAAAGTAGGGTCTCAGCCCTGGTCATCCAGTACATAACACATCGGAGGTCCTCTATAGATATTGAAATGATGGAAGAAAGACTGTTTCTAAACTATTGAGATGGTCAGGTCACAAATATGGTTTTGAATTAGCTAAATTACCTGGATAGTATGTTCTCTTTACTTTATCATTTTTTTTGTTATGAAGGACAAAACATCAGAAAGCTTTATTTCAGCTAGTTGTTTCCTTTTTCTCAAATACATGGAAATACCTATTATAAAAACTTTTAGCTGAGATGCTTTAATGGAATCTCAGGGTAAAGGAAAGGAAAGGGGTTTCTCTGTGCCAGCAACTTAATGTTTCCTGTTTCAGCTGTGCTGCCAGAGATTGTAATTCAGGAACCAATCTCAAGCTGAGCAGAGGAAAAAATGAGATGCTTCATGAAAATGGCCAAATGTCATCACCAGCTATTTTGTGAGAAGAGCTATGTTAGGAGCCATCCACATGTAAAATGGACTTTCACCAAATTCCATCCATCTGCCGGTCATGGAAGCTCACAACATGTATGTCTCCTGAGGGAGCCTTTTCGTTTTGTGCTTTTTCTGGCACTAAGAAATACAGACACTTGTGATTTACTACTGGGCACTTATAGGAATGGAGTCAACTATTTCCTAAGAAACTCAAAGACTGAAATGAGAAATTCAGAAAATAAAAATATTTTCTGTGTTAGAAAACTATATACCAGAAAGCCTGAAAAGTGAGGCAAAGGGCACGAAATTCTGGTTAATAAGATGTTGTAGATTAGTGAGAACTTGAAAATGTTTTTGCTTCTAGTATATTTTTTGGAATTTCTAAACTATATTAGCTCCCTTTCTTACCTTAGGAATTACAGTATTGTGATCATGTGAGAAGATAGTTCTAAATATTAATAAATATTTTTAACTTCATCAAATACGTCTTTGAAGATTTCGTGTTTTGATGTTTGAGGTCATAGTACCATAACATAGAGCAGGGATGCAGCATTGAAGAATTAAAGGGCGCCAAGTTAGAAATCTAAGAATCCAACTTTATCATTTATCAATTCCATACCCTCGAGCCAGTCATTTAACCTCCAAAGTTTCAGGTACTTTAGCTGTAAAATAAATGGAAAAGGATATCTCTACCATGTTACACTCTGTATTCCTACCCAGCTCAAAAACAGGAACTTACTAATACTTCTCACCACACAGGCAAGTCTTTGGGACTGCTGTGATTTGGTTATTTGTTTGTCCTCACCCAAAGCTCATGTTGAAATTTGATCCCCAATTTGTGGTGGTGTGGTTGGGCCTAGTGGAAGATATTTGGGTCCTGGGGGCAGATTCTTCATGAAAGGCTTGGTGCTATCCTCCAGGTAATGAGTGTGCGTTCTCCTTCTGGCTAGACAGAATTAGTCCTCATGGGAATGGGTTATTTCCCTTGAGCATGGGTTGTTATAAAGAAAGAGAGGTCCCACTTCCTGTTTGGTCCCACTTCATACATGCCTGCTTCCCCTTTGACTTCCTAGGCCATGTTTTGATGCAGCACAAAAGCCCTCACCAGAAGCCAAGCAGATGCTGGTGCCATGCTTCTTGTACAACCTGCAGCACTATGAGCCAATTAAGCCTCTTTTCTTTATGAACTGTCCAGCCTCAGGCATCCCTTTACAGCACCCCAAATGGGTTAAGACAGGGATCAAGCACCAGCTATTCTCTTTACTTCTTACTTCTCCTCCTAGGAAGAAGGAATGACTTAACTGATTGAAGCAATTAGAGTCAAACATCTATTAGTCATGGTTTCTGTTTTTGGAAGAGATAATGCATCAATTGTCACTGTTTATGTGTGGTCTTTTTTTTTTTTTTTTTGAGACAAGACTTTTAGCTTTGTTGTCAATTGCTCCAGAATCAAGAAGCGGGGTGGGGCAGGGTGGGGGATAAGTCATTAACTGGTAATCTGCAGTGATCTCAACAATAATATTTGTGATGTCAGTTCCGGATCAAGAGAGTAGAATGAGCAACAAACTTCCCATCAATCTCAGGACTCCCTGGAAATCCTAGTGATTTTAAGATATATAAAAGTAACAAAAAATGGATTTCATTAACAAAGAAGATAATTGGAGAGAGTTAACATCTGAACAGAGATTCCAACACATTTTTGAAATACAGAAAGAGAATAAAAACCTATTGAAATATGAAATGGAGCAGAGCAAAGTGCAGATGCAAATCCAGTAAGAGCAGACTGCAGTGGAGGTGGAGGTGAAAGTCAGTATTCTCACTGGAGGCACCAAATGAAGTTGGCAAATGAGGCAGAAGGCAGACATGGGAAGTCGAGCAAACGGGATTATCCGGAGGTCTTTGAACCAAATTTCTCCCCAGTGCCTCTCATCCCTCTTTCCCTACACCAGCAAGTGGAATCTCCTTGATAAATAAAGTGGCTGAACTGCTTAGGCTTTTATTGGGGGTATAGAGGTTTAAAACCTCTTTGTTTTAGCATTTAGGGAAACTGCAACCTGTCAGCTGATATCCATATCACTCATATTGAAACAAAGCAGGTCGTTTAACACGCCCTTGCCTACATACATAAACTGCCAGTCAAATTTCAAAGCAGTGAAGGGGAGTTTTTGAGAAAAGACCTATTCACACAGCAGCGGAGGAAACCTACACAAATTAACTAGAATAATGAGCCCCATTCTTTATTCTTAAAAGTGATTGGATAACAAATATACATGTTATATATATATATATATATATTTATATATATATATATATATATATATATATATATATATATATATATGTATGAAAACCAAAAGCACAAAGTAAAAGACCAAATTAATAAAACAGAAAAACCAACTCTGCAGAAAACAGAAGATAACTTAATAATAACAGCATTTATATTGCACTTATTTGAAGTCAGGCATTATTCCAAGAGCTTTATATATATTAACTCATTTCTTCCTGAGAACTATCTTACAAAATATGAATTTTTACCATCTCCATTTAACAAATAAGAAAACTGAAGCACAGGGAGGTGGAATGAGTTACTGCTGTGTGAAAGGGCTGTATACGGGAAGCAGTCCCCAAATGCTGCAGGAGTTGAGAAACCAAAGAGCCATGCAGACAAATTCAGTTTGCCGATAAAGGGTGCTTCATTGAGGGAACTTGCAGACAGAAATGCGGTCTTGAGCAGCAGCAAGACAGGTAGATCTCCACACTGTTACTCCCCAGATCCAAGGCTTGTAGACCACAGGGAAAGGGTGTATGTGCTCCAGCAACACAAAGGCACCCTCCAGAAGAGGCAAGAATACTATACGCATCACAGCCTATAATTTCTGCAACAACATCAAGGTTGACAAGTTCTTACACTAAGGACAGTAAATAAAGCAGGAATCAAGGAGCATTCATGATACTGGAGCTAATCAGAAATCAACATGGCAGATTAGCATGAAAATAGGGCCACTTTGGTTTCCACAGTTACCCACAGTTATAGCTAAGTGGTGGAGCCCATGATTCTATCCGGGTCAGCTTGGCCCCAGAGTTTGCTCTCTAATTATCTGCCAATTTTAATTGGTATCCTAGTCACGATGTGAGAAATCATTACACTCATGTAATAAGAATAGAATGCAATGAATAAGGAACAGTTCATCTATAATAAAGAAACTTTAGAGATTCAAAACATGACAGCTAAAATAGAAAAGTTCAATAGGGCCAGGCACAGTGGCTCACACCTGTAATCCCAGCACTTTGGGAGGCTGAGGCAGGCAGATTACTTGAGCTCAGGAGTTCAAGACCAGCCTGGACAACATGGTGAAACCCTGTCTCTACCCAAAATACAAAAATTAGCCAGGTGCAGTGGTGTGCACCTGTAGTCCCAGCTACTTGGGAGGCTGAGGCAGGAGAATCCCTTGAACCCAGGAGGCAGAGGCTGCAGTGAGCTGAGATAGTGCCTGGGCAACAGAGTGAGACCCTGTCTCAAAAAAGGAAAAGAAAAGAAAAAGAAAGATTCAATAGGACTTAGAGGACTGGAAGATAAAAGTAAAGTAATCTCAAAGAAAATAGAGTAAAAGAAATAGAAAAGATGAGGTAAAACTAAGAGACATAAAAGACCAATCTAGGAGGTTTAATATTTAACTAAAAAGATCTTCAGAAAAAATGTGTGTGTGTGTTTGTGTGTGTGTGTTTTAACAATTACCATTATGTGGTAGGATTTCAGAACACCAAGCATTCTACACGTTTTTGAAGATAAAGCATGTCTCCTATCAATAAACAAAGATTAGACTAGTCTTAAACATCTCAACAGCAAGGACTAGATATTGGAAGACAGTGTAGAAATTCCTTCAAGATTTTGAAGGAAAATAGTTTCCAACCTAGAATTCTGTGCACAGTCATAATATAAAATACATGAAAGAAAAGTTAATACACTTAGAAACGTGAAACATTAATGTTATAAATACATTTTCAATGCCACAAAAGAAATAGCACTCAAACATTAATTTTCTCAGCAAGGCAATTTTACTTCTATAGAAGGGTATGACTCGCGGATGGAGCAATGGTGAGAGCACACTTGAAGAAGGGAGGAGAAGAGATTTTTTTTCCTGATGCAGGTAGCCCCTACTGCTGTGTCATTCTCCTGCTGGCTAGGGTTGGACCGCACAGTCTAAGCTAATTCTGATTGGCTATTTTAAAGAGAGAGGGGGTAGGAGTTGGAGTCATGGAGTGAGTAGTTTGGTGGGAAGGGTGGTTACAGAACAGGTGATTCAGGATGATTCAGGTCAGAGCAAGAGACCAGGGTCGACTCCGGACGGAGGAGGTGACCAGGGGAACAGATGTGAACTACTGATTTGAACTCGTGGAAAAGGTTGTTTACTGAAACGAGGGGTGAGGAGAACAAGGAAGTTAAACTTTAAAATGGAGAACAAAGAACTGAACATACTGACATACTGATTCTTTGAAGAGAAATTTAGAACTCACTGTATTCAATATTAAGATCTAAGACTATTAACCTGCAATGTTTAAGACCGTACTCAAACATACATGGGATTGATGATTAGGAAAAGGACATAGAATCAAGGAAACAGGTTTCAACCTAGGAGAACAACAAAGAGGAGACCAAGGATGGAAGGTCTGCTACTGATCTTCAGAGCCCTGGTCCAGATTGTAACAAGGGGATAAAGACCTCAGGAGGTGGAAAAGGTAGAAGAAGCTGTTTTGTTTTGTTTTGTTTTGGAGACGAAGTCTTGCTCTGTCGCCCAGGCTGGAGTGCAGTGGCACGATCTCGGCTCACTGCAAGCTCCGCCTCCTGGGTTCATGCCATTCTCCTGCCTCAGCCTCCTGAGTAGCTGGGACTACAGGTGTCCGCCACCATGCCCGGCTAATTTTTTTTTTTTTTGTATTTTTAGTAGAGACAGGGTTTCACCATGTTAGCCAGGATGGTCTCGATCTCCTGACCTTGTGATCTGCCTGCCTCAGCCTCCCAAAGTGCTGCAATTACAAGCATGAGTCACCGTGCATGGCCAGGTAGCGGAAGATTTATCCATCATGGTCGAAAGACTGAATAAGCTTGATGAGAAAAGTTGAAGGAACCCAGGGCAAACCAATACTCTTATTCCAAAAATGAAGCCTTAAATATGACATGATTATTTAGTGATTGAGAATCTAGTTGATCTTGATCCCAAGAACAGTCTCTTTCAAGTAGGTCAATCAATAGTCATGATTTGAACGTGCTGAAAAGAAAGTGTAATTCTTAGGTTATGTACTAAAAAGTACCAATACTGTCATAATGTGTAGGCCATTTCTTGACTTCTAAATTTTATAGTCAACTTATGGACAAAGCACAGAGGCCTTAATTCTAATTACACAACATATTACATAATATAAATAGCAGCAACGTTGATGGTATTCAAGATACAGTCAGCAGAAAGTGGGAGAGAGAAAGTGGTGAGAGAAAGTGGTAAGATAAAGTGAAAGTGCAGTGTACTAAAATCCTCCCTTATTTAGAATGGGGTTCCAGATACAGTTGAACCAAAACAAATTAGAAATATATAGAATTTAAAGTTACTAAGATAATCCATCCTCAAAAAAATTAAAGTTCTAATATAAGTAATAAACATTGGAAGGAAAAGAAGATGCTGGCAGTGAGCTGAATTTTCATTCTTTGTAGCAGGCAGCCAATGGATCATGTCTGAACATTTTAAGTTAAGAATAGATTTAAAAATCTCTACTTTAGAGTTTAAATGTAACCAGCTGAATAACTAAAAACAAATTTAAAGTAAGTTGCTTTTGGGAAGCAGGATTGAGTTGAGGGAGGGAGTAATAGATTTGCTTTTCAATATTAGCTCTATATTATTTGATGTTTTAGCATTTGCTGGTATTATTTGATTTTTAAATGTTACTTATATCCTTAAATAACAACTCATCTCTATTTTATAGGACAGGACTAATGGGAAGATTGGATGGGATAATGGATCTCCTAAAGTATCACACACCTATAGCAACACGCAAACAAAGGATACCAATAAAGTAATACTATCGTGAAAGGTATTAGAAAATGTGAGGTGCTATACAAATACCAGTTATTACAGATAAGTACCACAGAATTTGGAGTGCACCTATGTTGAGCCCTAGCTATTTCACTTACTATAAAATCAATGTATCCTCACTGTGTCTTCAGTGAAATGTAAAATGGAGTCTGTATAGGGGTTAGGAACACAGACTCTAGAGTTTGACTGCCTGAGTTTAAATACCAACTCTACTATTTACTAGCTGTGTGACCTTAGGTAAATTACTGAATCCTTCTGTGTCTCAATTTTCTCATTAGTAAAATGGGATCAATGTGAAGATTAAATGAGTTAATGCATATAAAGCCCGTAGAAGAGTGCCTCTCTCAAAGTAACCCTATATACATGTTTGCTGTTTCAACTGCATAATAATATTAAAAGATTTTTTTCAATCTTTCATATTATTTAATTTCTTTTTTATATATGTAGGTGTCAGGAAATCCTAATGCATGATAGTTGTGCAACCTTCTTAGGTCACTGGCAAACCATGATGTGTGTAAGCTTAAAGCATAATTAATTACAGAAAAACACTGAAATTTAGAAGAAATTCTGACCCAGACACACACACAAGCTCATGCTTCCATACGTTAGCCAGGGACTGAACATTTATTAAACACCTTCCCATGCTGGGACACTGTTCAAGACTGTTAAGGCTACAAATATGTGGAAGACCTGGCCATCAAGGAGCTTACAGATACTCATGGATCTACATGTGGGGAGGAAACAAGCAAGCTACTTCTGGAACCATTTGGCGGCTTGGCAGCTTGCTACAGAGAAGCTGAAGGGTAGAGCTGAGCCCTACCTCCTGCTCTGTGAGGCGAATGATGATCCGTCAGGAGCATAGAAGGGAGAACCTCCTCCTCCACTCTCCACCCGCCCCAAACACACAGTCTTTCCCACGCAACACAGGCTTGCCTCCTTAGGCTCAGCAGAAGGGGGAATGAGCTTCCAGGAGTAACACCCAGCTCCGAGCCTCACTAGAGGACCACCCTGGAAAAGGACCTGCTTTACCCAAGTCTTCTCTGCCACAGTGAGGAAGCCGCCCCCACCCCACCAACCACAGGTGCTCTCCCAACCCAAATCAAAAAGCCACTGGTACTATCACTAACCTCTGTCATCCTGCCCCAACCAAAAAGATATCACTTGCCTGCCGGCTTTGTCACGTAACTTATTTCTGCATTCAGGACTCACACAGGTCTACCTGCAATTCCCTTTCATGTTTAGGGCCTGCTGAGGACTGAGCAGCGTGAAAAAATTGACTCAGTCATTTTTCAACATTATTAACACCAATTTCTAATTTGTAAATAATACTGTTAGAAGTGCTAGAATGTACATTGAGTCCTAGTGAATAAATTACATCCTGAGAACACCAATAATGAGAAGGAAATTACAGTGACACCTCCAAGAAATAGGAACACTCTTAAGTGGCAACTGGGAGATGGAAGCAGCAGCGAAGGGCAAACCCTGGATGTACCATGTGGATAATGAGATGTGTTGGTCATGAGCTTAGGGGCAGCACAGTGACTCTCCTGTGCTCTGGGTGTGTGTGCTCTGGGAGGAAGTCTCTGTGTGTGGTGAGGCAACTGGGTCACATCCCGAGAGTGGTGGTTTCTATGTAAAGCAGATGGGAGCTGGAGGAGGTGGGAGAAATGAGCTGTGTGAGTGAAACAGCTGTTTGAATGAAACATCCAACAGAGGATGACTCTGCCTTCTGGCTACCAAGGGTGGGGCTCCTGCTGTTCCATTTATGGTAAGAGACCAGATACTTGGGTAGGCAGCATAGAGAGACTCAGCTATGTTAGGGCAGGGCCTACGTGGAATCAAATATCAGTGGTATCTTACATTTGCCCAACACATTATGACCTACAAAGTACTTGCAGATTCTTGATCTGATTTATGCCACACATTGGCCTGTGCTCTTGGCAGGGCACGTGTATTATCATCACTCTACGGGGAAGGAGATCCATACATGATCATATGACCAGTAGAAGAGCTAAGACAAACAAGTTGCCCTTTGGACTCCTACCGTGGTGTTCCTTGCTCCACGTCACACTGCCTTTCCTGGGAGATTTGTCAGGGCAGCTCTCAGTGAGCACTTTGTTGAGATTCTGCTCTCGGGAAGAGAGAAGTTAATTAGTTAAAGATGATTTCCATCACCTGAACCCAAGTCACGCACCAAACGTGAGCCATAAATGCTAAGAGGAGGTGATAGTTAATGCAAAGAAATGATGAGGAAGAATGAGTTGTTTCCATTGGCACATTAAATGGTAGCCTGTGGACTCCCCAAATAATTGATTACCCTCAGAAAACATTATTTACTTTGGTTTAGAATTGAATGAGGTTCGTTTGACCACTATTATATTTCTTGGTAAATAAAAACTGAAAAGAAAGACAATTTATTTAAATATAATGAGTTCTTTAAAAATATAAAAGACTACGTTCAAAGAATTATTGTTATTTGTTATTAACAATACCCTAAAATTCAACATTATCCCAAACTGAGTAGGCTGTACATTAAATTGTTCATGAGTCAAATAAGAAATGAATACTCTACTGAAACCAAAGCAAAATTATTTTATCCCCAGTAAGAAAATTCTCCTTTTTACCACCCCCAGAGTTTCCACACAGATTAGATAATGGCCTATTTTATTTTAACAAAGCTTTTGGCAAAATGTTGACAAGCCACAAATGTGGCCTCTGAACCCAGGGACCAAAAAGACTAATACTGTTCCTTTGAGAAACACACAGTTTGTCCAACAATCAGAAGAAAAATAGAAAACCATACTTGAATCCAACCTGGAGTCACAAGTTAGTGAATTCAACTGTCTCAATTATAGGGTGAAACTTTTCATAAGTCAGTTGCCATCAAGTCCCAAAGCACCATATCTATTTTTATTTTTACTATATTTTGTGGTGGTCCCCAAGATAAATTAATGGCTAGCTTAGTGTTTTCAGTTGTTTATTCATTCATCACTCTTATGGGAACACAGAAACATTCGGGCTGTGCAATTCAGTCAGATTATATAAAACCTCCCTTAAATAACAAGACAGATACATCTGGTCCCTTTCACAGGGTAGTCACATAGCTGGCTAGAGTCAAATCTGGCTAATTAATCAGAAAGAATAAAGACTAGAGATCTTGTATTCAACTATGTATGTATAACTATGAGCAATGGAATTGAAAACTCATTCTAGATCCCACGAGGCTTTCAGAAGGAAAGTACAGAGAATGTAACTTGTATTTGACTTAATAGTTTTGTCACTTTAACCAAAATGTTATTCTTGGTCCTAGGAAGACAATGATATTAATGATATTCCTTATCATACACATATTTTCTCTGTATAACTATAGGTTTAAAATTTCAATCATGAGATGATGGTTTATGAAAGTTTGTGGGCTTGCATCCCTATCTCTTATGTGCCTGAAGAACGGTTGGGCTTGTTTGGTTAGTGCCTCAGCAGCAAAAAATTGTCCACACAGTGTATCAAGTCCATTCATCCATCTCATTCATGGTGCAAATATGGCCATGTGGCTTGTTCAGTCCCTCTAGAAACCATGTATTTTATACAGTGACAAACTTCCATCTGGCCAGCCTTGACTAGAACACAAAAGATATTGGACCTTCATGGATGGTTCATCCCGGACCTGTCGCCTGTCAGTGAAAAAACAGCTCTTGAGATCAACCAGCTGTGGGCCCTGTACCATTATCTCTCTCTGCAATCACCTAACGTGGCTGTGTAGTCCATTTCACACAGCCAGTGAACACACAACAGAAAACCCAGAGAGCCTTCAGGAAGTCAGCCTGTGTTCAAAGCTTCCACTAACAGCCACCTGCACCGACTGCACCACTTCTCTGCCCTGGCGCATGTTGTGCACCCTCTTTTGGACTTTTTTTTAGGATAGCAGAGCTTCTCGTCCCCTCTGATCCTGATTCTACAAGGCTTTTATTTACTAAGTAGAGCACAGCAAGCAACGTATACCAGAGCCAAACTCACATGGTAGAAATTCCCTGAGGGTATTATACTAAACACACTGCCTCCTTCCTATGAATGATAAAGTGAGAAGAGTGACAAATCTGCATTCTGCTTCATTACACAAAACATACAACCCCTCAGGGCTTCATCTGAGAGGAATCTAAGGACTAATACAATATCATAGAAGTTCCACACCATAAATGAAGAAACTGATACATCAAGAAGTAGTAAAGTAATTAATCCAGGTCAATAAATAGAGTAATGCATTCATTTCCTATTGCTGCTGTAAGAAATTACCACAAGCTTGAAACAGCACAAATTTGTTATCTTAGAGTTCTGGAGGTCAGGAGCCCAAACTGAGTTGGCAGTGCTGAATTCCTTCTGGAGGTCCCAGGAGAGAATCCATTTCCTTGCCTTTTCTAGCATCTATAGGTTACTGGCAGTTTTTGGCTCATGGCCCCATTAACCATCTTCAAAGCCAGCAGCATGGTATTATCAAATCTTTTTCCTCTATGAGCTCTGCTTCTGTTGTCTTGTCTCTTCTCTGACTCTGACACTTCTTCCTCTCTCTTATACAAACCCCTGTGATTGCATTTGTCCCACCTGGCTAATCCAGAATAACCTCTCCATCTCAAAATCCTTAATTTAATCACAAACTCAAATTTATTTTGCCATGTAAAGTAACATTCACAGGTTTGGGGGATTGTAGGGCATGGACATTTTTGGAGGGAAGAGCATTATTCTGCCTACCACAAATGACAACCAAAAAGTCTAATCTTCATCAGTGACTAAGGATCTAGCAAATATGTGTGTTAATTTCATTCAAACTACATTTAGTAACTAGATGCCAGGTACCATAACTGATAAACATCACAAAGCAAAGAATAGGCATAAAATGCTCATATATATATATACATATATATATATATATACACATATATATATATATATATATATATATATATATATAGAGAGAGAGAGAGAGAGAGAGAGAGAGAGAGAGAGAGAGATGGAGTCTCGCTCTGTCACCCAGGCTGGAGTGCAGTGGCACAATCTCGGCTCACTGCAACATCTGCCTCCTGAGTTCAAGCGATTCTCCCAGCCTCCTGAGTAGCTGGGACTACAGGCACACGCCACCATGCCCAGCTAATTTTTGTATTTTTAGTAGAGACGGGGTTGCACCACGTTGGCCAAGATGGTCTCGATCCGTTGACCTCATGATCCGCCTGCCTCAGCATCCCCAAGTGTTGGGATTATAGGCATGAGCCACTGCACCCAGCCCCAAAGATATATTTTAAATGTAAGTCATAAATAAGGAAGACCTTTTAAGATCCTTTAGAATGGAAAAACTATTAATAGTGAACTGTGGTAACATACAAGACACAAAGAGCTCATATTTCTAATATTTTTTAAAAATGATTTTATAAATAAAAAAGAATGATATGAACAACCCAACAGAAAACAGGGGCAAAATGAGCAATTTATGTACCAAGGCATACAAATGAGCAATGCATATATTGTGAGAAGTCTTCTTTTATATCTCAGATCAGCAAGTACTATGTGCTGAATGTTTGTGTTTCCCCAGCAGTCATATGTTAAAGTGTTAACCCCCAAGGTGATTGATAGTAGTTGAAGGTGGGGGCTTTGGGAGGACATCAGGGTTATATTAAGTAATGGGAGTGGAGCCTCCATAATGGGTTAGTGCCCTTATGAGATGGATGGACCAGAGCTTTTATTCTTCACCAGGTGTGGCTACAAGGAGAAGATAGCTGTCTGCAAACTGTCCTCATCAGACACTAGATCTGCTGGTATCTTGATCTTGGACTTGGAAGCCTCCAGATCTGTGAGAAATAAATGTTTGTTGTTTAAGCCACCCAATATATGGTATTCTGTTGTAGCAGCCTGAACTGACTAAGACAGCAAAATTAAAAAGATTAATGATAGTCTTTACAACGGCCTAAAAGGCCTGCATGATCTGGCTCCTTTATCTCACTCTGCCCCTCTTATCTAATCCCCTTCTTCTGCTTCCACCTCACTTGTTATTCCAGCCAGAAAAGTGTCCTCTCACACATTATAGATCATGTACGTATATTTATACACATATACACATAAAAATTTGGCCAAGCAATGCCACTTATAGAAGTTTTTATACAAATGAAAAAAGTTATGCATACAAAAATAAAAATGTTTCCAGGTAGAGATTTGGTTAAATTAATTATTATATATTCATAAAACTAAATACTATGCAACAGCTGGTCTAAGTGTATATGTAAAATATTTCTCACATGCATTGACATGGAAAGGTTCCTGAAGTGTATCTGTTAATATAATTCATAACATATATGTTTATTTATTACATAGTTATTAATTATAATTTATATTATTTATAAAATAAATATATCCGCATACATATCCCTTCCAAAACATCTGGAAATGATTAGAAGAGGAATGAACATTATTTTTCATTTACCTGATTATTAACACATATTACCCCAGAAGAAACACTTATCCAAATCATTTAAGAAATTTTTTTTCTTTAAGTCAGAAAGAAAATACCTTTTCTCTCTGTATTTTCTCTATATGCCGGCTTCTTAGGACCATTCTAGCAACAGTTGGCTTTGTGAAAATCATTGGAAAATCTCATTCTTTTTGGTCTATATTTTGCTATTCTGAGTAAACATCATCTGTTATATAGATGACACTGAAAGCCCTCTGAATATTTTCATTTTGCTATGTATTACATAGAAAAGACTTAAGCGTTCTTATAATTTTTATAAGCATATAATCCCCCTTTCTCATGATAAAATATAGACCTAATAAAAGCAAAACTTTCTAAAAATATTTTAGATGTATAAGCTCGGTGAGACTATCTGGAAACTACAAATTTCTGCTACAATCCTAATTGTGGCCCAACTAAGTTATAGCAAATTTTATTGAAGAAAATGCATGGATAACTTTTTTCCTTACAAAAACTCAAAAGAGCATGATCTCTGTAGATACAATTTCTTCTAGTTTTTACATGTAAATTATTCTTACTCTCTCTAAAATGGTTTCTAACCGCTAGAATTACCAGACAAAATTATTTTGAATAACCATATTCTCTATTTTTATATTTAACAGAATTATTTCAAATTATCATTTCCAATGTTATTTTTAACTTAGCATTTTTTTTAAATCTACAGATCCATACATAAAATACTGTGGACATTTTCCATCTGGGCAACATCCTGTCTTGTAATACATGTTCAGGATGGTCTCAATGCCCTAACAGAAACAGCACTGAATTAGGTCATGTTGAAGCAGATTAAATTTGAATTAGAGGCACTTCTGGCATTAACATAGATGTGTTAATATTTCCCTCTTCTACTTTTGAAATCAAACAAATAAAAAAATAAGAAATACAAAAAGAACCTACATATTCCATTTTTGGCAAAACTAGGAAGCAAATTTACTGCAGTCTTCAAAATAAGTTTAAAGGCTGCCAAAAGCAACAAGACCAGACAAAAGCCACATATAAAACATGAGGAGAAGAAGCAAAGAGACTCACGAGAGGATCCCATGGCAGCAGATTTCAGAAAATTGCACTTCCTGCAGGTGAGAGGTTATCTGAGAAGTGCAGAAGCTGTATTCATGCTGGCAGCAATGGGTGTAGATCCTGTGTGATCGGGGGTGGCAACAAGAGCCTTCATGGACCCAGTGACTCTCAGAGAAACAAAAGTGCAGGGCTATGGAAGAACCACACAGATGAGCCATATTGGAAGAAAGAAGTCTGTCTCTAAGAAAGAAAAAAAGGAATTAAGAGTCTGAAAGGGTACAGTTATGTTTTTTCTCTTAATGGAACTTTCTGAAAACAAGTTGCTCAGAAAAATTCAAATTGTTCATTAATGAAAGGAATTAGCATAGCACTGACACCAAGATTATATAAGAGAAGATGTAAGAAAGAAATAGCAGTAAACCTTCCAAACACAAAGGACACAAGCCAGAAAAAATGTTGACAGAGCAAATAAAAATTGTAGCCAAATGTTTTATTGTGAATTTTAAAATTAAAAAAAAAATCACTAGTCTTTATGAAGGAAAATTATAAAGGAGAAGTACAAAGAAGGAAAAAATGGAAGAAGCACACAGAGAAAAGAATGTAAAAAGCAAGTAGGAAACTTAGAGAATAGTAATGAGAAAACTGGAGGGAAAAGGTGTAGCATAAAAACAAGTAAAGAAGATTCAACATAGTCCTTTGAAGCTGTCAAAGAGGGAAATAACCAAGTAAAACAGAACAAATTGCTAATGGTATAATTGAAGAAAACTTTCCTAATGTAAAAGATGACCTACAATCACATACTGAAAGAGTACACTCTGTGTCCAGGAATAATAACCCACAACAGTTAACACCAAGACCCATCCAGTAAGTATACTGAATGTAAAGATAAAGAAAGAATCGCAGACAAAATCGTCAGATAATTTACAACAGGAAAAAATGTATAGGTGTTCCTCAGACTTCTCCATACCTTCATCCAATGCCAAAATTCTTAAAGTAACACCTGTAATATTCTCAAGGAAAGAAATGTGAGCTAAAGATTTTATATACAGCCAAACTATTCTTCAAATATAAAGGGTACAAACAAAAAGTCTTGAACATTCTGGAATCCAGAAAATGTTGTCCTTCAAAGTCCTTATTGATAAAATTGCTAGAAGACAGACTCCAGCCAGCCAAAGTCCAGGAATTACAACAAAGGTGTTCATGGTGGTCACAGAATATGTTTAGATGCAATTCAAAATTAAAAACAAATGTGGAGCTAATGTAACCAAATAGAATGTTAATTTTATAAGTGCTGAAAATGTAGAAATGATACAGCTAAGACAAATTGGAAAAGGAAAGAGGGAACTAGAGTAAATTTCCCCTTTACCTCTTTTAAAGCTAAAGGAGAGCATTTAAATCAAACGAACCAAGTAATCAACATTGTAAGTCTATATAACAGAAAAATTAAATGCTAAGAAGGATAATATTATTAATTAAATCTGTGGTAGATGACTTTATAGATACAACACCAAAGGCATAATCCATGAAAGTAATGATTGATAAGCTAGACTTCACTAAAATAAAATAATTTTTGCTTTGCAAAAGATATTGTCAAAAGAATGAGAAGACAAAGCACAGATTGAGAGAAAATATTTTCAAAAGATATATCTGATAAAGGACTGTTATCCAAACATTTAAAAATTACTAAAAATCAGCAATAAGAAAGCAAACAACCTGATTGAAAAATGGACAAAAGACCTGAAGGGACACCTCATCAAAGAGGCTATACAGATGCAAAGTAAGCATATTAAAATATATCCAACATCATATGTCATTAAAGAAGTGCAAATTAAAACAACAATGAGATACCACTACATATCTACTAGAATGTTCAAAATCCAAAACACTGACAGCATCAAATGGTGGCAAGGATTTGGTTCTCTCATTCATTTCTTGTGGGAATGCACAATGGTACGGCCACTTTGGAAGACAGTTTGGCAGCTTTTTACAAAACTAAAAATGCTGTTATCATACAATCTATAAGCAGTCATACTCCTTGGTATTTACTCAAAAGAGGTGAAAGTTTATGTCCACACAAAACCCTTCACATGGATGTTTATAGCAGCTTTATTCATAATGATCAAAACTTAGAGGCAACCAAGAAGTCCTTCAGTAGGTGAATGGATAAATAAGCTGTAGTACATCTAGACAATGCAGTGTTATTCAGTGATAAAAATAAATGAGCTACCAAGCCATAAAAAAGCAGGGAGGAAATTTGAATGCGTATTACTAAGTGAAAGAACCCAATTTGATAAGTTTACATACTGTATGATTCCAACTCTGTGACATTCTGGAGCAAGCAAAACTATGGAAACAGTAAAAAGATTGGTTGTTTCCAGGGGCTATGGAGTGGGAAGGATAAATAGGCAGAGCACAGGGGATTTTTAGGGCAGTGAAATTATTCTATATAATACTATAATGGTAGAGACACGTCATTACACATTTGTCTAAACCCATGAAATATACGATATCAATAGTGAACTCTAACGTAAACTACAGAATTTGGGTGATGATAATGTGTCAGTGTAGGCTCATCACTTATAACAAATGTACCACTGCAGCATGTGATATCAAAAGTGGGGGAGGTTATGTGTATGGGGGAAGAAGACAGGATATATGGGTACTCTATATTTTCTACTCAGTCTTGCTGTGAATCTAAAACTGCTTTAAAAAATAAAGTTTATTGATTTAAACAATAAAAATTTGGGTGGTAGAGGAAAGGAAGGGAGAGGAAAGAGAAGAAAATGCCAACCCTGCATTGCTTATAGAAGAAGCTAACATATATACTGTCTAAAGAGTTAAAAAAAAAGAGTGCTACATATAAAAGTAAGTACATATAAGAGTGCTACTTTAAAAAGTAAATCCCTGATTAAAATATGTAACTTCCTAAATTTTAGAGTTACTGCATAAGTAAAACAAAGCAAAAATATGAGACCACATGAAAGATATTTGATTTTTTTAACTATAAAAACACAATCCATACTCCAAGAATGGTAGAGTAAAAACCTCCAAAAATTCCCTTCTTCAAAAAGATCAATGAGAACACTAGGACAATCAATGTTTTAGAGCTCTTAAAATTTATCAAAGACTGGCGACCAACAAGAAAAATGTCTGAATCTAAGTAAGAACAATGGGTTTTGTGGCTTTTTAACTTCCCTATTATCATCGTCCTCTCCCAGCTCTATGGGAGCCTTGATAACCAACAGCCTTGAAACCATGTTGGCTGTACAGACTTGAAGACCTGAAGCCACTGGAGGCAGCAGAATGGTTTTGGAACTCCCACCAAAAGCCTCACTAGAGAAAATTGTCACTCTTTGACCTATCTGGCAAGTTTCTGAAAATCTCAATTCTCAAGGCTTGTCTTTATTTGACATTACTCAGAGCTCACACTTTGTTAACATCTGCCCACAGGGAATCTGTGGAAAACAACCAGTAGTGATTGTTTAACATGGTGGCTGCCTGAGACAGCATTACTAGTTGGAGCTAACAAGAGGCTGACCAAAAAACTTCCAAGGAATAAAGGGAATGAAATGTCTTTGGGGGACTTGAAAAGCTCTGACATATTCCTGGTAATCTAGTAGATTATGTACTTGCATAAGGCTGTATGAATGCCCAAGGAAGATATTAAAAGGCTCTCTTCTCTCACTTCTTCATTACCTTGAGTTTCTGAACAAGCAGGAAGTAAAGGCTAATGGAGAGCTATAAACTGCTTGCCAAATATTGAAAACATACTTTAACATACACACAGAGCCTCTTAGCAAAGGCTAGGAGATGTATGGTTTAAGGAAATTTGAGAAATGCTCTGTCCAATCATTAACTGACCACTGAGCTAATCTAGCACAAAGTTTGCTGGCTAAACAAAGAATACAGACTTTATAGAATTAGCCTAGGAAAGTCACTAAACCAACAAACTGTAAAAACAATATATGTTGGAGAAAGGGGGGTATCTGATTTCCAGATTTGCCACATTTTATGATTTAAAATGTTCAGTTTTCAGCAAAAAACCATGATATATGCAAAGAAAAAGGAAAATATGGATCATACACAGAAATAAAAAAGTCATCAATAGAAATTGTCACTAAGGAAGCCAAGACGTTTGACTTACTAAGCAAGATGTTAAATTAGCTATTTATAAATGTTTAAAGAACTAAAGGTAACCATGTGTAAAGAATTAAAAGATAATCTGAGAATAATATCTCACCAAATAAGAAATATCAATAAAGAGATAGAAAATATATATATATATATATATATATATATATTTTTTTTTTTTTTTTTTTTTTTTTTTACAAAAAACCACATAGCTATCTTGGAGCTGAAAAGTACAATAACTGAAATAAAAAATGTACTAAAAGCACTCAATAGTAGATTTTAACCAACAGAAGAAAGAACCAGCAAACTCTAAGATAGGGTGATTAAAATTATCCAGTCTAAAGAATAGAAAAAAAAAGAATGAAGAAAACTTAACGGTGCCTCAGAGACCTAAGGAATACCATCAATGAGAGTCCAACATGCACACAATGAGAGTCCAGAAAGTCAAGACAGATGGGGGCAGAAGGAATATTTGAAGAAAAAATGGTAAAAACTTTCTCAAGTTTGATGAAAAAGCTGCACATCCAAGAAATTCAATAAACTCCAAATATTATAAACTCAATGTGATACTCACCTAGACAGACAGTTGAAAGACAAAGAGAGAATCTTGAAATCAACAAGAGAAAAGTAACTAATCATATACAAGTTTTCCTCAATAAGATTAACAACTGACATCTCATTCAGAACCATGGAACCCAGAAAATAGTGGGATGACATAGTCACAGTGCTCAAGACACAATACAACATGAAATAATATAAAGAAATCAAGACCAAACCAATCTATTATATCATTAAAAATAATAGGCCTGAAAAAGCCTAATTTTAAAAGTATATTTTCACATTGGACCACATAGCCAAACTCAACCCCATAATATTTAAAACAAATATACTTTTTTAAAAAGACTCAAAAACATTGAAAATAAAATATTTGGTAGTAATATACCAGGCAAGTGGCGACAAAAATAAAGTAGTGGTCAATTTGAAATTCAAGTCCAAAAACATTAAATGAACCAAAGAAGGGCTTTTTATAATAGAAAAGTCAGTTTATATTTAATGAAGATAAAACCAATAACAATATCTATGGCTCAATAACTAAGCAGCAACATTTAAAAAGCATAAATAAAAGAGATTTGTGGAACAGTAGAAACACATAAACAATACGAAATCTTATTTATTTCTTTCAGTTTGTGACATTTCTATAGACAAAAAAATAAAGATATGAAAGAGCAAAATAATATGAGAAATAAGACATCTTTGAGTGATATGAATCAAGTTCTGTCCACTAAAAAGAAAGTTTGGGCCTTCTTTCTTAGAACATTCATAAAATATTGGGCCATAATAAAACTATAGTAAATTCTAAAAGGTGGAGTAGTGTCTAGAGCACACTTTATTTATGATGCAATTAAACTAGAAAGGAATCACAGAAGTTGAATTCATGTCTCACATTAACACCAGGATAGATGCAAAATAAATGAAATACTTGATGTCAAACATGAAACTGTAAAAGAACTACTATAGGAGAATTCATTTAAACCTTCTAATGAGGAAGAATTTTAAAATTATGACTAAAAATATAGATGCCACAAAATATAAGTAATATATAATATAGTCAAACACATAAAATAACATTTATGAAAAAATCTTTATGTCAAAAAGATATAAACAAATTCTAATGACAATGTTAATCTTGGAGAATACCACCATTGTGTTGCAAACAACAGCTTCTCTAATATATAAGGAGTTTTTAGAAGTTAATTTTAAAAAAATTGATGGCTCAGTAGAAAAGTAAGGAAAAACTATCAACAGATCACTCTTAAAAGAATAATATAAATAGGCCTTAAACATAAAAAATTCCCTGATGAATGAAACAATAATATAGAAATTTAGAGTAAGTTAGGAGAAAATTGGATGGACTAAAATTTGCAGTTCAATCCCATTACAAAGAATAATACCAGGTTTCTTTGTAACAAATTAATACAGTCCTTGATGCACAGTAGATTTTCTTTTTTTTTTTTTTTTGGCCTCTTTTTTTTATTGCACTTTAAGTTCTGGATTACATGTGCAGAACATACATGTTTGTTACATAGGTATACAAGTGTCATGGTGATTTGCCGCACACATCAACCCACCACCTACATCAGGTATTTCTCCTAATGTTATCCCTCCCTTAGCCCGCCACCCCCCGCAGGCCCTAGTGTATGATGTTCCCCTCCCTGTGTCCATGGTTCTCATTGTTCAATTCCCACTTATGAGTGAGAACATGTGGTGTTTGTTTTTCTGATCATGTGATAGTTTGCTGAGAATGATGGTTTCCAGCTTCATCCATGTCCCTGCAAAGGGTGTGAACTCATCCTTTTTTTTATGGCTGCATAGTATTCCATGGTGTATATGAGCCACATTTTCTTAACCCAGTATATCACTGATGGACATTTGGGTTGGTTCCAAATGTTTGCTATTGTGAATAGTGCCGCAATAAACATACGTGATGCACAGTAGATTTTCAATAAATACTTGAATAAGTAACAGAAGTCCCTTTTATCCTCTTTGTTGATAGTCTTTAGAAACCTGTGCCTTTCTCTGTCAGTTAGCTCTTATGTAACAAACCAATCCAAAATTTAGCAGCACAAGCAATAAAGATGTATTATTGTTATTAGACAAACCATAACCAGCCTATGGTTTAAAGACATATTATAGACAAACCATAACCAGCCTATGGTTTATACACATATTATAGACAAAGCATAACCAGCCTATAGTTTGTCTAGGCAGTGCTGAAGATCTGAACCAGGCTTAGCTAATCTTGGGTGAGCTCACTCAAGCATCTGGAGTCAGCTGTGTCTGGGTTATTGGTTGGAACTGTGGAATGACTAGGTCTCTCAGATTAGATCAGGCTTGCTCATACAGTAGCAGGAGAGTTCAAGAAAGTGGAAGTATGCAAGACCTCTTGAGGCCTAAGCTCAGAACTGGCACCATCAACCATTACTTCTGTGCATTTTATAGGCCAAAGTATGTCACAGGACCAATTCCGATTCTAGTGATGAGGAAATAGACTCCAAGTCTTAATGTATGGAATATCCAATCCATATTCCAAAGACACGGATATTTAAAAAAGGTAAGATTTGGGAATATTTTTGCAATTGGTCTCCCATACTTTCCACCAATGAACCTACAGAAATGTGAGAAAAAGTATAGTGTATTAAGAACGGGGTACCCAGAAATAGAACATTGGGCAGATCCCAAAACAGCACCCAGACCTTGCATTTCTGATTGCTTTAAAAACAAAAGACAAACCTTAATTCCTTCCTTCCTTCCTTCTCTTGCTCTCACTAGTTCGTTCACTCTACATTCTGACTTGCATTCTCTCTATTCTATTTTTTAATATTACCATGTTCACGTAGTCCTGTCCAAAATCCTCTATTTCCTTCCTTTCTCTCCTTCAACTTCTTTAGCAATCTCTCATGCTCCTCACTTACAGTATGTGTTTACTGAATTTAAATAACTAATTTCATAGGATCACCATTACTGTTGTTGTTGTTAATTATTCATAACTCCATGTTTTTGTAGTTCAGGGTAACTTCTTTCCGAGTCATTTACGTACATCTTATCAAGTGATAAAGTGCTGTGCCAGGAGACATTTCTGACAATGATGATCAAGCAACTGTCATTTCATTCTTAGCATTTAAAAACTTTTCAAACATCTTTCGTATTCATTAGATCATTTAGTTTTTTTCTACAAAAGTAATTATTTTAAAGTAAATATTTATGCTTGGTTGGCCTTCAAGTTTGAGAACTTTGTGCATTTAGGTCAGTGTTTCTTAAATTTCAATAGAATGCAGCATTTAAAGGAAAAAGATTGTCATGAACCACTAATGTAATAATTATTATATATTTTATGATAGTAAAAGCAAGTTTTTTTAATTAAAAAATTTTTAATTGACACATGATAATTGTATGTATTTACAGGGTACAGAGTGATATTTTGACATATGTGTATAATGTATAAAAATCAAATCAGAGTAATCAGCATATCCATCATTTTTTTGTGTTGGAAACATTCAAAATTCTATCTTTTAGCTATTTGAAAATATACCATAAGTTATTATTAATTATAGTCACCCTACAGTGACGTATAACACTAGAAGTTGTTCCTCCTATGTAGCTGCAATTTTGTATCCTTTAACCACCTTCTTCCTATCACTCCCTCCCTACCACTCTTCGTAGCCTCCAGTAACCACAGCTCTGCTCTCTACTTCTATGAGCTCCACTTTTTTAGCTCCCACATATGAATTAGAACATGTGGTAATTATCGTTCTGTGCCTGACTTATTTCACTTAACATAATGTCTTCCAAGGTCATCCATGTTGCTGAAAATGACAGGATTTCCTTCTTTTTTAGGGCCACATAGTATTCCATTGTGTATATATACCACATTTTCTTTATCCATTTATCCATTGACACTGAGGTTGATTCCATATCTTGGCTGTTGGGAATAGTACTGCAATAAATGTGGGGGTGCAGATGTCCCTGTGATATACTGATTTCTCTTCTTTTGGATAAATACCCAGCAGTGGGATTGCTGGATCAGATGGTAGTTCTACTTTTAGTTTTTTTGAGGTACCTCCCTACTGTTTTCTATAGTGGCTGTATACTACATTCCCATCGATGATGTATGAAAGCTCCCTTTTCTCCACACCTTCCCCAGCATTTGATATTTTTTGTCTTTTTGATAATAACTGCTCTAACTGGGGTGAGATGATATCTCATTGTGATTTTGATTTTGAAAGCAAGTTAAGCTGCATTTAAATTTGTCAGGTTTTGTGACCTGATTGTAGCATAGGTTAGGAAATAACTTAGAGCAGTAGTTTAGCCTCTCTCTTCATAAAGCTGTTTTTAAATCCTGTGGTTTGATCTAATGAACAAAGATTCCAATTGCTCTGGATTTCAGATTGTGCAGATGCTAAAAGGAAGAACAGTGCTTCTGTGAATATTCAGCTATTCTGCAGGTGCTAATTTTTCCTTCAAAACTGATTTTGAAACGAGAGTCATGGGTACATTTTGGCCTGGGGCAGGACAGGGAAGAATAGGAAAACATTCCTTCTTACTTCTTCCAACCTCAGCCTTGCCCTTGTGTCCATACACATCTCTAACTGAAAACTGGCTGCTTGAGACAGCTGCTCAGACTTGCATCTTTTTTTTTTTGGACAGTCAAGCTCTGTTGTCCAGGCTGGAGTGCAGTGGCGTGATCTTGGCTCACTGCAACCTCTGCCTCCCAGGTTCAAGCGATTCTCCTGCCTCAGCCTCCTGAGTAGCTGGGACGACAGGCATGTGCCACCACGTCCGGCTAATTTTTTGTATTTTTAGTAGAGATGGGGCTTCACCGTGTTAGCCAGGCTGGTCTCGATCTCCTGACCTTGTGATCCACCCGCCTCTGCCTCCCAAAGTGCTGGGATTACAGGCATGAGCCACAGCGCCCGGCCACATCTTGAAGACTAAAGCTAAAGGATTCTATTAGGGATTCCATAAAAGATCCTATTATTTGCCTGTATAACCTACAAAAAATAAATTCTAGCAAAAGACCAGCATATTGTATTGTAATGGAAAGAACATTCAATTAGTCAAAATCTTAGGTCATATTCTCAAACCTTTCATTGCTAATCTAATCCCTGAGCTATTTTGTAAACCTAGGCTGGCAACAGAAGTTTGGAATGCAACCCTTGTAATTTATGGGTACCAGAAGGAAATGGTCAAAATTCCCCATGCCCTAGCTTTTAAAGATTAGTGAAAAAGGATAGAATGAAATTATTTGACACTATTTGGTCCTCACTCATAAGCCTAATTACCTCATCAATACCTCTCCATGTCAGCTTTGCTTGCTGTGGGGTATTTAGCAGCATGTGATGGAGCAGCCCCTTCCTACTCCTGGGCCCAGGAAATTCACTCATAGGACTAGAGAGAATCAACCTATCTTCATAAATTTGAAATATTGTAATTTGAAGTATTGTAAAACAAAGGTAAGCTCATGTTCTATTGTAGATAAAACAAAAAAATTAAAACCAAATGAGAATATTTTGATTATCAGTAGTTTCTGTTGTCTGTACTCACATTATACCATTAGTGCCCAGGAAAAAAAAGTAGGAAATAGTTTAGTTGTTGTTGTTATTGTTACCTATCAGGCAAAAACAAAACAAAACAAAAAAACCCTCAACTTGAAATTGCAGATTTGATTACAACACTGGATTGTGATATTTTGACTCCTCTATGCTCCAAATAGACTGAGACGTTGGATGGCAGGCCCATTCCAGCAGACACCATAGTCTGAGAACTGATTACACATTGTGACATTCTAAAAGATTTTGAAAACATAGGAAATATTCTTTTGTCAGAGCAAAGAGAAGAAAATGAAAAACTTTTTGTAGGATAAAGTGAATAAATACAAGTGGCAGGTAGAAATTAAAATTACACTTTTTCCTAAGTTTGGATGAGATGAATCAGGGGTACCTTTGTTTAAACTCAGTGCCTGGCATAGAGTGGACAATCAGTAAATGCATTTTTTTTTAATGAATAAAAATGATTGACCTACTAATATACACTTGGCTTAAGGCTTAGCATACTCTCATCACTCTATTAAATATATGTGAATAATTCAACTTGTCTTGCTTTTAATTTTACTTTTTGTTGATAATCTTTTGTAGATAAATTGATTCTTTTTTTAAAAGTAAATAATGAGATAAATAATGAAGAGAGAAGACCTAAGCCCATTTCTAAGCTCTGAGGAGTGAATGAACTGGTAGGTTACAGGAGGGTCAAGGGTTCAAAGACAGACCCAGGACTGGCCTCATCGTGGAGGTTGTCCAGGCGCCCTTTCTTTTCCCCTTTGCCTCCTCTTTTTTCTCCTCTTTCTTGTGTGACTAGCCAAAAAAAGTGACAATTTTTATGCATACAAAGAGATTAATCATTTTTGAATTAAAAACATTTTTTAACTGCAATCTGAGCAGATCTAAAACCTGCTAAATCAGTCTACATTTCAGCTGTTGAATACTGGCCACAAACATAACTTGGTAGGAAACACAAGCTAGGGAAAACAACTCAAGGGAGGGAAAGCAAAGGCATTTGCTCTAACTAGCAGAGGGATGAGTGGGTGGGGAGTAGATTTGAAACAGCCCTTGTCTAGGATTGTGAAAATGGGCGAGAAGGAGGGGGGAAAGGGGAAATTTCACTTGGCGTCTGGCCATGGTTATTTAGAGTTCAATCACATTAGGCTTTTCAATCAGGGTGAGTAACTTCCCTGCAGAAATTAATATCTATAAAGCCATCATAACTACTTGTCTGGTGGATAGACACTAGAGGAAGACGGGCCAATCTTCTTCAAGAATCTAACAAAGACTTCTGTCACATTCTCTTGCCTCAGAGTTCATGTTTGCAGGTTTCTGCCTGCCTACATTTATAACACAGTGAAAAATAGCAGGTTTTAAGAAAAATGAATAAAATAGCTTAAATGTAATCTTGCCTTTATTTAAATATTTACATTCAACCAAATAGCTTGCTTTGGTGATCTTTCCTTTCAGGAAAATAGTTGACAGAAAAAAAAAAAAGATTTCTAGTTTCAACATGCTTATCTGCTCACTTTTGAGTCTGCAGTTTGCCCTGACACAATGCACTAGAACATAGGGGTGCAGAATATAAGAGATATTCTTGGAAAAAGGCAAGTATGAAAACTGCCATTTATTTTCAAAGGTCAGATTGAGGCTACATACCTTTTGTGTTTAGGAGAGACAAATTGATCAGTATGCAGAAGATACATTATTCTGTGGAATTAGTATTTCACATATCAAACTCAAACATTGTCATTTCAAAGTTTGGTAGTTTGATAGGTGCAAGTTATTTACCTAAATAATTAAGTTTTTCTTTAAAAAATGAAATTAACCTAATAATAACATCAATATCCTTTCAGATGTATAATGTATATGTATAATGTGAGGAATTAGCACCTACTTAAACCTAGTGGGACTCAGGTACTTTAGAGACCTTTACATAAGGATTTTCTCTGCTCTGTTTCCTCTTATTTGTCAGAAGGCACAAGCTTATTAATTAATCTGCCTCTTTCTCCTTAATGCCTTAGAGTGGCATTTTCAAAGGTAGGTCCAAGTACCCTCTGCATCTGAGTAATATGGACAACTTAGTACAATGCAGATTTCTGGGTCCCAGCCCAGATCTTCTGAGTTTTTGGAATTGAGGCCCAGGAGTTTGCATTCCCAGTAAATCCACCAGGTGATGCACACTAGAATTCCAGGATTTTTTCATAGTGGGAAAATTTATTTTCCAGAGAATAGCACGTTTGACTTAAAAGTGGGGTATGGACAGAGAACTCAGAACTTTCTAGCCAAGGGAACCCAACCGTGCTTCAAGTAGAGGTTTTGTAAACGTATACACTTAAAAATGTATGTTTACAATAGCATCTTACGGGAATTTAATCATATTAGTAACTCATTGGCAAAGTAGACTGGGCATTGTCAGATATATGCCTAAAGTAAGAAATACATACTTTTCCTTACATGAAGTTTAAAAGTAATATAACCTTGCTTCATCCATGCGTGTTCACAGAGACCTGAGTTTCCTGTGAATGTGCACCACAGGAGACTTTTTGTCATACCATGGACTTGCGGAACTCAGCAATGTCCTCATCCTACGACTGTTAAACACACTTACTTGTATTTGACCACTAACAGAACTTGATAATAACACTTAAGTAGCTTGATAGGGAACGCTGTAAACTTTGGTGAGACTATTCATATATAATTAAGCAAGTCTTTCACAAATGTCTATAAAGTCAGGAAATTTGATTTAGATCATACGAAGAGACAAATATCAGCCCTGAGATGGTCTGCCACTTGCCTCGTCTGTGTCTACAGCAGGACTGGTGGTTCTCAGCCCCAGTTGCATATTATAATCTTCCACAGAACAAAAAAAAATAGCTCATATCTAAGCCTCCCCCTGGAACTTCTGATGTATTTAAATGGAGGTAGAAGAACAATGAGAACTGTAAAGGAATATCTTCAGTTCCAGCAAGTGAAGAGGGGTACATTTTGAGGAAAAAAGTTGACATACAATGTACAGTAGCCAACTCACAGCACCCAGCACATTCTGCTAGTGAAGACTGTAGTCTCAGAACAGCAATAGTAAAGGTGTAAGCTTGTGACGATGGGGAGAGCAGTAAGGGAGCCATCATCCCAGTAGAGATGTCAGCATTTTTCTGGAAGTGCAAGGATGATTGATGTTTGTTAAGGTGGAAGAGAAGAAGATGAAGCCTGAGATGCAAGGGGAGAGGGTTGTAGGCAAGAAGCATGCCCATTGGTCCTGCACAGCACCAGAGGGGTGTGGCTCTTAGGATTACAGGGAGAGCAGGAAATGGGAGTGAAACAGGAGACACAGAATAGGAGGTTAATAAAAGTATCAAATACTGAACAGGCTACCCTGACATGGCCCTCTCCTCCCCTGTATGCAGCACTCTGGGAAGCCAGGGATGTACTTCTACAGCAAATAAACAAAGAAGAAAGGTCTCTACTCATGGTATTAAGCGAACACTCTAAGGAGAACCAGACAACCAGGAAGGGCACTGGAGCAAATGCCCTCTGTGTAGTGTCATTTTGAAGACCCCTAGTGTGAAAGGTGGCTCCAAAACCACTCACCCTTAATGTATCTTGCCAATTGGTAAACCCCACCCACTCTCATAGAGCCCATAGATGGACTCAAAATTTTATGGCCTCCAGCTTCAATAGAAACAAACAAACAAGCAAACAATGCTCACCAAATGAAAAAATTCTGCAACAAATAAAGAGAAAGATCAAAATTAACAAGAAGAAAGAAGTGATTCTGGAGAAAACATAGTTAATTCAGAATTTAGGGAAAAAAATCCTTGTAATTAATATTAGAGAAATGAGAGATTTTACATCCAAAACAAAAGCAGACTGCTGCAAACAAGAGAAGAACAATTAGAGAACAAAAATATCTCTAGATACTTAAATAATGTTTTCTGAAATGAAAGAAAAATGGAATCATTAGAAGAGATTGTTGAATAAACTAGAAGAAAGATAAACATCAAAAGAAGAAAATATGAGAGAAAAGTTAAGACACATACTAACATCTGTATTTATTTAAAAGGTCAGCATCCTATATTTAGGAATTTTAGAAAGAGAAGAGAGAAAACAGAGGGAAGGAAATAAAAATAAGAGATTTCTCAGAGTGGGAGATAAATGTCCTTTGACTAAAAAAGCCCAGTGGTCCTCAGTGCATTGACCATTAGAGCCCACTCTTATCGTCACAGTCATAGTGTTAAAAATTTCAGAATCCCAAGGAGAAAGTTATCCTAATAGTTTCCAGGGGAAGAAATAGCACATCAACAACATAATAAGTGTAAATTTGGCATCGGTCATCCATTCACCAATTTTGAAGGCTAAAAAGTAATGGAGCAATATCTTCAAAGCTAAAAGTGGAATTACTTTTAACTTAGAATAGCATAAGTAGTCAAACTATCTGTCCAAAGAAGGACACATTTTTTCAACCTTAAGGCCCCTGGAAGATACTTTCTGCTGCCATTTCTTAGAATATTATTGGAGAGTATGTTGTAGCATGATGAGATCGTAAACCAAGAGAGAGGAAAACATGAGCTCTCGAAACATGATCCAGTCCAGGAGAGGCCTGGGCAGCAAGCACAATGAAGAGAAATTAGAACAACTTGGAGGAGAATAATGAAAGGCTTTGGAAGAAAGATATCAAGGGGGAAAAAAGGAGATTTAATACTATTTTTGTATTAAAATAATTTAGGAGACAGAAAGGCAGTCAATGTAAGAAAGAAGGAAAAGCATTTAGGAACTTTTAACAAAACAAACCACGTAAGAAACTAAGTGTAATGATAATACACTACTTGGCGCTACAGTGCGACTTATTGCCATTAAAATGTAAATAGTGGTTAATGACTTTCAAATTTAATAGACAACGTAAAGAGTTCATATTATACAATTATTAGAAATACAGGCTCTAAAAATCATACTGGCTGTGTGCATCCAGAAATTTACTTAATTTCTATGTTACTCAATTTCCTTTCTGTAACATGAGAATAACAATAGTTATCTATGTTATAGTCTTGCGAGGCTTAAATGAGCTACTTTATACAAAGTATGTAGCATAGTGCTTGACACACATAGTAAGGCCTCAACAGGGGTCAGCTGAAACAAGAACACACACAAGTATTTATTGACACAGAAGAAAAATGAAATGTTATCAAATTTATCAATATAAATATATAACTACAAATGACTAAAAGTGGGGAGGAATAGTGAATTGGAGTTAAGAGATAAGGCTTATAGTTAATAAAAACAAAAATAAAGGCAACTGAGAGAGAAACAAAAATTGGCAATATAAATGTGTAATGGAGCTAAATTATAATACATCAGACTGAAAAGCTAATAATAGATTATAACTAATAAATCAAAAACTAGCATGTAAGATTATAATGTAAAGCTATACAAGGAACCTGGAAGAAATAAAGGTGGTTCTCTTTGAGCATCGAGGAAGGTAAAGGAGGAGTCAGAGTGGGAGGTGAGAGTGGGAGACTGTTGCTTTGCATTTTAAACCCTTTTGTAGTGTTTTATATTTTAATTATATACATGCATTACTTTTATTAAAAAATAAATGTTTTTTGCACATGGGAATTTCCTATGTGATTAAAAATGTATTTCAAATAAAAAAATACATATGTTTAACAAGAAATAAAATTAACACTAAGTTACCAAGAATTCTTGCTATGAATTTCAGGAAACTCAGAGAGTATGGAAAATATGAAAACTATGGAGAAGGAATGCCAATTTCTGGCATTGACAAAATTTGACCATTTTAAAATGATTTAGTAATTGACTATAAGAGACAGAGATAACGCTTACTTTTATTGATAAAGTCAAGCAAATATCACAGTGTATCTGAAAAACAAGTGAGGTTTAATGTCAATCAGTTTTTACTTCTGTTACCTCTTAAAATTATCAAGCTTAGTTTGGGGAGGTGTTCAACTATTAACTTTAAGCACTTTGGGGTACCTTTTGTTGCCCAGTTCATTCTTCTTCTGGTCTCTTTCTTTCCTGGCTGCTCTCTATGAATATTTGGCATCATTAGAGTTCCTTTCCCATGTTCCCAAAGGATAAGCACATATGTAGTCAGTCCTGGAAACTTGATCTTTATCCTGAATCTTTGTTGAAAAGCAACTAGAGATGGATCATGTGCACACTCTTCTTTAATTAACAAACCCCCATGACATGAGTTTACCTATATAACAAAACCTGCACATGTACCCATGAACTGAAAGTAAAAGTTAAGAAAATGTGGGATTAGGCATGGTGGTTCAAGTCTGTAATCCCAGCATTTTGGGAGGCTGAGTTGGGAGGATTGCTGGGGCCCAGGTGTTTGACACTAGCCTGGGCAGCATAGTGAGATCCTGTCTCTACAAAAAATACAAAAAAAAAAAAAGCAGCCAGGCATGGTGGCACATGCCTGTGGTTGTAGCTACTTGGGATACTGAGGTGGGAGGATTGCGTGAGTGCCACTGCCCTAAAGTGGGTGACAGAGTGCGACCCTGTCTCAAAAGAAGAAAAAAAATGGAATACACACTTAAAATAGTAATGCTTGTTTTGGTGAATTTCATCAACGCTTCTCAATTTGGGCCTCATAGAACATGTACTTTTTTATTTTAGCTATTTGATTTCTTTTATTCTTTGGTCAGATTCTAAGACCTTAACACTCATGATTCTATTCAGTTGTTTGCATAGGCTAGAGGTGTCAATGATGAAAACACTTCTAGCTGCCAAAGCTAACCAGAGTTTCTCAGAAACTGGAAGGAAACCCTGCCCTGGCAGCTTTTGTTGGATGCCTAGAAACCATATTCTTCATATATTTGTGTTTCAAGAGCTTGGCTAAAATATGCTATCTGCTGGAAATCTCAAATGGTTGCCTCTTTTCTAAATGGTACAGCAAGGCTCACATGAAATTTCTACCTTTAATGAAAGGTGAGATTAAAACATAAATATGAGGTACTTTTGGAAGTAATCTCATCAGCAGCTATGGCTCCATTCTCATTACTTTGCAGTTTTATTTGGCATCCCCATATTTCCTTTCCTTTGTCTTCATCACACATTATTTAGCTGATCTTCATGCTTAGAGGAAACATGTGATTTGAACTAGGTACTTTAAAGGAGTGTGATAGGAACTGTTCTCTCTTGGTGGCAGTACACTGCTAGATTGGAGACTGCTAGTTCTTATGCTGAGTCCTATGGGGTCAGGAGCAGAAAACTCAGGTTGGAGGAAAGAGCCACAGAGGTTGCCACCAGCACCTCCAGAATGGAAGAGGAGCAAGGAAGGCAAATGTGGCTGAAGGCCAGCAAGGGAAGGAGTACCAGGAGGTGAGGTTAGAGAGATGAATGGGATGCTGAGGGAAGCAGGTAGATTTTCTAGGACCTTAGAAGACTCTGAAGAACTTTTATGTACTCTGGGAGAGATGGGAGGTAATGGAAAGTTATAAGCAGAAGAAATGAGACTTTTAAAGGATCATTCTGACTGCTCTACTGAGAGTAGACACTATAGGGTAAGAGTGAAACAGGGAGGCCAAAATAAGACCATTACTATCAACCAGGTCACAGATGACGATTGCTTGGACCAGGAAGGTGGTGGTGAAGGGAATGAGAAGTGATTGGACTCTGGATCTGTTTTGAAGAGAGAATCAACAGGATGTGCCTATCATTTGAATGCTGAGAAATAAGAGAAAGAGTGGAGTCAAGAATGATTCCAAGGTTATGGCCTGAGCAACTGGAAGAGGTTGGTGCCACTTTCTGAGATGGAAATGTCTTCAGGTTGGTGGATAGAGCAGGAGTTCAATATAAAACATTCCAAATTTGAGAAATCTGTTACATATACAAATGGAAAGTTTATATGAGCAACCAAGAAATAAACATCTAGCTTTATTATATTGATTCAAAAAATTGAGTTTATACAGACTAAATATCATAAGATAAATTTATAGCTTGATGATAATCCTGGATCTTACCTATAAAAATGATATGACGGGTCTTCTGTATTTTGTTGCACAACAACTAAAAACATTTCTAAGGAGATCCTCAAAATAAAGCATAATAGTGAAGCTTGAAGATATAATCTTTTACCCTTGTTCCCAAAATTGACACCAATGAGCCTCAAAAGCCCGAGGGCCCTTACCATCAGATCATCCATTGTTATAATAAAGCGTGTCATGTCAAACTTCATTAGGCGTTTCCACAAAGCATATTTTACACCTGACTTGCCCCTAAGCATTTAGATGTTTATTTCTACCTGAAGCCACCTGTAAAGTTAGATTAGATAATTCTTAAGAGTTTGATTTTACTCAGGTGTACTGACAAGCACAAACAATAACTCTTTGGGAAATTTCAAGATTTCAGTTGTTCTTTGTCTGTGCAAGTTAAATCAACCACAAAAAATTTTTACAACACAGACTTTCATTTATTTTTCTCTTTACTGAAAATTTCGAGGTCAGTCTCTGAGATTTGGAAGCAATCTTATTAGCTCTGTGCCCTAAGGCAAATCCACAGTGGAGATAGGAGTGCACTGTGAGACCCTGAAGGACTTGAGGCCTGACAATTTTCCCTTGCAGCCCTCCTGTCCTCTTTCTCTGCATTTCTTCTCCCCACTGCTTCTTGCAAATAACCTTAGCCCCTAACACATCCTCCCCACCACTCTCAATAAACTCCAGACTGTCCAACTATCCACACTGCAAGAACAATCTCTTTAGTTCTATTTCTGAAACTAGTGTTCATTGACTGGCCCCTTACCACTAAAGTCTCATAAAACCTCACCCTCCTTCCCCAAATTAGAACACTTCTTTCTAGCCTTCCTACGACTGACATTTTCAAATAAAGGTTTATGTTAACTGACCCATGAAGCCACAGTTATCCTGTGCCCTGTGGAATTCCATTACTCCTACTACATGGCCTCTCTTTCTGGCAGAGTTAAGTGGTTGCTGGCAAGAAGAGAGGCATGAAGAAGTGTATTGGGAGATATGAATTCCAGGACAAAGGAAAAGCATGATCTGAGCAAGAAGTGTCTTCATTGTGGCTGTGAAAGATACAGTGAACAATTAAAGTCATCCAATTCATAGAAAATTTGAAAGCAAATAATTACAAGGAATAGATCTCATAGGGCCTCAAACATCTGATTCAAGAGTTTGAAAATTCCTCAGCTGGATAGTAACATAGTCATTTAAACGAACAAGCAAACAAAAGCCAGCATGGGACATTCCTTCAGAGTTTACAAAATTATTTCCTATATATGCTCTAATTTAGCGATTTTTTTTGTCATGAATTTTCCTCTGGCAAAAATATTTAATCTGGAGCAGAGAGAGGAAATACTGGAGATAAAAAGACCTGTTTGAAGCCATTAGAATGGTGCCTGGGATTTTAAGTCTGAGTGACAGGCTGGGGATAGAGAAGCCATAACTACCAAATGTAGAGAACAGTGTCCAAATGAAGGAGGACACTGAAAGCACATGGCGATGATTCCTTTTTAGAAAATATTGAATTTGAAGTGGCAACCAGAAATGCAGACATATTTCCATGCCATCAGATTTATGAGACTCTATTAGACACACGTTGCTACCTATTTGGAAGTTATATATTTGGAAATTTGTATGTGATAACCAAATAAGATCAAGTAAAAAAAAAAAAGTCCAAGAACAGAATTAAGAAGAAAAGCCAGAGAATATTATGAATGTTATGGAGATTGTTACTTGCTCTGATTGTTCCAGATTGTAACCTCAGCATCTAGAACTCTACCGGGCACCCAGTAGGTTCTCATGAGTGTAGGTCGACTACATGAATAAGGCATGCCAAAGTGCCCTCCAGTGGGCAATGTTCTCTGCCTATCAGGACAGACTCTGCAACTATTCCTGAAAAGATGAATGCCAGAGAAAGTAAAGCAAGAAAGGTGTGCTAAAATAATTGCTCTGTTCAATTTTTCAACAGTACCTTATGCTTTAGAGCCATCCAAAAAAGGGCAAAAAGGGGAAGAAAAGGGAAAAAAAATATTGCTAGTGAGGTCAGTTCTCAAAACCAGCGTGGTTTTGGTTTCTTTTTGTTTGTGTTTTTAATGAGTAATCCTTTGTCAAATTTATCCATTGACTGTCAACAATTCAACCCTTTCTATTAATTTATAACCAAAGGAAATTCCTGGGAGATTTTTGAAGTTTTCCTTTACCCATTATTGAGATGAGCCATGGGCTGCACCATGCTTACATAACCTTTAGAGTAAAGTCTGAAGAAATAAAAAGTGACTCAAATGGCAGTTTTATGAGACTTCTGCAGGGTGGGTTTCAGGATGATGCTTTGAGTCTGCATTTGAGATCATAGTTTATTTTCAGCCCAGGCTATGTGAAGGATTTGTTTTACTTTTAGCACATCAACATAATGGAAGGGGTCTGAATGTGTTTTCTTTAAATCATTTCAAACTTTTTTGTGGAGCCAGGAATAGCCAATGAACAAACAAATAAATGAAGGAAAAAGTTGAATTTTATGAGACAACATTTTATAACATAAAAAAGTCTGAATTATCAAGTACATACAAATAAGCCTATTTTTTTCCCACAAAATTAAAAGGAGAAAAAAAAATTTGGGAGTGGATGTAGGGTAGTGAGAAATCAGCATACATCAGCTCATTTACTTAAACAAAGATAAAGAATATTTTGTACTCAGAGAGTTGTATGACATGGACACGTATTGTTTCTCTAGTGGGCATGTACTGTTTCCTCTTTCTGTTAATACCAACTGCCCTTGCTCCTCCTCTTCCTCTGGAACCTCTCTCCTAATCTCCTCTCCCCTCCTCAATCCAGCCTGTGGTTCCTATGAAAGCCACGAAGTTCTTACAAGGCAGCACTGTTGATTAGTTTTTTTTATTAGCTCAGGGATAGACACCTTCTTCAGACTGAGCCATTCAAAGCTCTTTCCTGAGCAATTTCAACCCTCAGGTAAAGAAGAGACTCAGTACCTCTGTAGTGCATAAGAACTACACAATGGGAAATTGAGAAGCTGTCAGCTCACATTCCACACCTCCAGCTTACCTCGTGAAGAAGGTAAGTCTTCAGTGAAACAGAATGAACCAACCCCCTGAGAAGAGCAAAAGTGAGTCAAGGTGAGGAAGAATGAGAGAGAGAAAGAGAGAGAGAGCGAGAAAGCGATCTTGCAAAAATCAGGCCAAGATGTCCTGTTGATCTAAGGCTAGATGCATTTGCATCCTTCCTGTTTCTTCAATCTTGAATTTTCATTAACCAATGCATCTCTTTGCCTATTTTGGCTGTCTGAATTAGTTGAAGTTGATTTTCTGTTACTTGAAAACAAATAAAAAGTCAGAACTTCCTGGCCTTCCAAAACAAAAATACAAATAAGAACTAATATAATTGATACCACATAGATGTGCATGGGCTGGGTGGATTCTACAATTATAATGCCATGCAGACTTATGAAAAGAAGATTGACTGTAGCTTCCAAGAGTCCATGAGATTTAAGAGTGTGGACAGCACAAAATTAAGATGAGCTGAGAACAGCCAAGAGTTTGATATAGTGTAAGTAGCAACATATTTATTTAGAGAACTAAAGGTGAACAACCCCATTATAGATTCTTCTTTCAAAGTAGATTTATATGTATCTCACACAGAGAATAAATGAACTAAATTGGTATTCTCCCCTGCTTTGAGTCAATCAGCCTTCCTAAATTGCTTCCTAAATTAAAAAGAGAATAGGATCCCTTCTGAGAAGTTTTAACAACAAGCTAATGAACTATTATGGTATGGAAAAGCTGTAGATATTACAAATCCTATCTGCAGTCTGACCCAAGATTTTATATGACTTGACTTGAAACTTATGCAGCTCCACAGTGAAGAGGAATTCTTCCCAATTATCAATCGATGGGGCATTCCTTGGGGAGTTTACACAATCTTCATCTGCTCTACAGAGGAAAACAAAAACATATCCCCACCCCCGCCAAAGCATAAATAAACCTTTAAAATTCAAGTAAAAGGAGGGTGGAAGTGGAGAAGAAAATTCTGGTTACAAACCACCAAACCTGTAATTTTACACTCTACAACCATCTAAATAAACAAAATCATGCAGTATAAACACTGCTGATAAAGGACTACCACACAGTGTTTAATAGTCCTGGGGAGGAAAAAAGCGTAAATACGTTTTTTATTCACAAAAGAAACTTCATAGTTTCCGAAAAATTATTTTTAAAGAAACTAGGGAATGTCTCTCTGCTTTCCCATTTAAAGTAAGTATCATACATAAGTGGACGAATTTAGGAAGATAAAGATATTTGTGAATCAAGAGTGTTCACAATTCCTACAGAAGTGTTTAGTTTGAGTAACTTTCTAAAACTTTAAGGTAGAAAATAATCATTAAATATAGTGTGTCCTTAATATTATACAGAATGCTAAAACTGTCCAACACTAAGCATGAGGATAAATTTTTGTGAATAGTTCTTTTTTCATTCACTTGAACCTATAAGCATATATTTATTGTCAGACTATGTAATTGCAGTTCTTGGTTGAGGAAAAATGATCAGTTAAAAGTGGTTTAATATATCTTTCTGGCAGAAAACAATAAATTATTTGAAGCCAATGAGAACAAAGGTAAAACATACCAGAATCTCTGGGACACAGTTAAGGTAGCATTAAGAGTGAAGTTTATAGCACTAAATGTTCAAATCAAAAAGTTAGAAAGATCTCAAATTAAGAACCCAACATCACAACTATAGGAACTAGAGAAAGAAGAGCAAACCAACCCCAAAGCTAGCAAAAGACAAGAAATAACCAAAATCAGAGCTGAACTACTGAAGACAATTGAGACACAAAAAAAAATACTAAAGATCAACAAATCCAGGAGTTGGTTCTTTGAAAAAATTAATAAGATAGACAAGCTGCTAGTTAGACTAATAAAGAAAAAAAAAAAAGAAGATCTAAATAAACATAATCAGAAATGACAGAGGAGACATTACCACTGACCCCACAGAAATACAAAATACCCTCAGAGACTACTAAGAACACCTCTATGAACACTAAAAAATTTAGAAGAAACAGATAAATTCCTGGATACACACAACCTCCCAAGACTGCTCCAGGAAGAAATTGAATCCCTGAACATACCAATAACAAGTTCTGAAATTGAATCAATAATAATTTAAAAAACCTTACCCACCCAAAAAAGCCAGGACCAGTCAGATTCACTGACAAATTTTGCCAGATGTGTAAAGAAGAGCTGGTACCATTCCTACTGAAACTATTCCAAAAAATTAAGGAGGGGGACCTCCTCCTTGACTAATTCTATGAGGTCAGCAATCATCCTGATACCAAAACCTAGCAGAGACACAATTAAAAAAAGAAAACTTCAGGCCAATATCATTGATGAACATAGATGCAAAAATCTTCAACAAAATACTAGCAAATCAAATCCAGCAGCATGTCAAAAAGTTAATCCACCACAATCAAGTAGGTTTCTTCCATAAGGTGCAAGGTTGGTTCACCATACACAAATCAGTAATGTGATTCATCATATAAGCAGAACCAAAACCAAAGCTGTATGATTATCTCAATAGATGCAACAAAAGCTTTTGATAAAATTCAACACCCCTTTATGTTAAAAATCCTCAATAAACTAGGCATTGAAGGAACATACACATATAACTGTGTGTTATATAGGTAAACACACAGTTTACCTATATAACAATCCTACACATGCAGCCCTGAACCTAAAATAAAAGTTAAAAAAAAGAGTCTGATTGTTATTGGAAAACATCAGAATAATAAATTACCTTGATTAGAGTAAGACACATTAACAAAATATCATTTAATCCTCAAAATAAAAAATATATCTTCCTGTGAAAAATTACTACACTCTAGCATCTCTAACAGCAGTACTTGCAACTGCCACTCTGGAGACTCAGAGAAAGGAAATTCTGGTAGCGGTCCTCTCAGAAGCTCATGACTATTGATACCTATCATAGCAATTTCACCGTACTTGTAATGCAGTTGATCTCTTTCTTTACCATTGCTCTCTCTGCCAATATTGCTCTCACTCCCCATTTGGGTGTGAGAGTTTCTAAAAAAAGAAACTCTTCTTTCTTTTTTTAGACTTCCACTTAATCACAGCTGCTTTTTTTCTTCTTTCTTTGTGCATTTCAGTTTCTTTTTTCCTTTCCAATTACTCATTTCCTCTGCTGATTATTTTCTAATTTTCAGTCTTTCTGAGAAGATCTTTTGGTTCTGGTAGTTGGTATTAACTTTGCTGGAGAGAGTGCTTATACCAAGCTACCTTATTAGTTATTGGCCAACCTATAGATTGTCTCTTCCTAAGTCAGAAACTTACTCTTGATCTAACTAGCAGCACCTAGGGTGTCAGGGTCATGTAACCATTTTTCTTAAGGGATGTGTGGCTTGAGGATCACTTGGTGAAATAGAAACTCATACTCCTTTGTTTCTCTGTCACAGCTGCTATGGGAGTTGTGCAGAACACACAGAACTTTTCAGAGCTTCTGAAGTCAAAAATGAACTAAAAAAGGAAAATTTTAATCGTTCAAATAGCTGACGGCAGGCCCAATACAAATGCTGCTGCTGCTGGCACCCAAATGGATCATCCAGGAGCCTAGGGGTTAACCTGCCCCACCCACCACCACTAGTGTCTGTGCATGTTGTCCAGGGATTTGGGAATAGACTTGCCCTGCTCACTGCCACTGGCACAGATGAGCACCATGCAGGGATCTCAAGACAGGCCTGCCCTTCCTATAACCACCAAAGCTAGCACCCATGTGCACCATCTGGAGGATGGGGGATCAACCCTCCCCACCCACTACCAACCTGCCCACTGTACTGCCCATGTACATTGTCTAGGGGCTGGGTATAGGCTCAATCCAACTGCCACTACTGACTCATATACTTGTAGTGCAAGGGTATAAGGACTAGCCTGTCCAGTCTACCACCAGTGCCTGCACATGCCTCCTGGGGCCTAAGGACTGAACTGCCCAGCCCACTGCTACTGGTGCCCACATGAGCCACTCAGCAGCCCAAGGTTTGGACTGTCAATGCTACTGCCACTGCTAATGCCACACATGACCCACACACCTGGCCTGCTCCTGGCACTGCTGGCACTTTAGCATGTTACCTGGTGGCTGCAGGACCAACCCCCTCTGGGCTTACAACTGCCAGTGCCAGCATACACCACCAAGGAGCCTGAGGACCAGCACACCTGGCCCATCACTGCCATCACTGGTGCCAGAGGACTGATCAGCCTGGTGCCCGTCTTCCCAGGAAAGCCTCACCACAGTCTTCACTAAGACCTGCAGCCTAAGCCACCAAGGAACTCACAGATATCAATAATGCTGATTACAACCAAACAAGGAACACACAGATATCAATAATGCTGATTACAACCAAAGAAATACAGAGACTACACTACTGTGCCCACCCAGAATCAAAGCCAAAGCACCCTACCCAACCAACAGTATAGATATATGATATAGTTTGTACATTTGTCCCCACCCAAATCTCATGTTGAGATGTAATCCTCAGTGTTGGAGATGGGGCCTGGTAAGAGGCAATTTTATCACAGGGACAAATTTCTCATGAAAGATTTAGCACCATCTCCTTGGTGCTGTCCTCACAATAGTGAGTGAATTCTTGTGAGATCTGGTTCTTTAAAAGTGTGTGGCACCTCCCCTCCCTTGCTTTCACCACAGGACATGCCTGCTCCCCTTTGACTTCCACCATGACTGTAAGCTTCTAGAGGCCTCCCTAAAATCTGTGCAGTTGCCAGCATCAGGCTTCCTATAAAGTCTACGGAACTGTGAGCCAACTAAACCTCTTTTCTTTATAAATACCCAGTCTCAGGTATTCTCTGTAGCAATGCAAGAGCAACCTAATGTAATATATCTACAGGAAAAAGTCTTTACCTACAAAAGCAAATTCATAAAATTGGATGAAGCTACTGTTACAACAGATGCACAGGTATCAACCTAAAAATACAAGAAACATGGAAGTGCAAGAAAACATGACACTTCCAAAAGAACACAATAATTATCCGGTAAGATTCCAAAGAAAAGAAAGTCTGTGCAATGCCTGAAAAAGATTCAAAATACTGATATTAGTATTTTGAAACCAGTGAGATACAAGATAACACAGATAACCAATACAAAGAACAAAGAACAATTCATGTTCTGAATGAGAAATTTAATTAAGAGATAGAAATAATAAAAAAAAGAACAAAACCAAAATTTTGGAACTAAAGAATTTAATGAATAAAATTAAAAATACAATCAAGAGCTTCCACAATAGACTAGATCAAGTAGAAGAAGGAATTTCTAAACTTGAAGAAAAATCTTTTGAAAGAATCTAGTCAGACAAAAAATAAAGAATTTTTAAAAATGAAGAAAGCCTATATGACATATGAGACATGTTAAAGTGGTCAAATATTTCCATTTTTGGAGTTCCTAAAGGAGAAGATATGGGAAAAGTCATAGACAATCTATTTAATGAAATAATAGCTAAAAACTTATGAAGTCCTGCAAAGGATATATACATCCAGATACAGGAAGCTCCAAGATCTACACATAGATTCAACCAACAAGGGGTCTCCAAGACCCCTTTTGGTCAGACTGTCAAAAGTCAAAGACAAAGAGAATTCTCAAAACAGCAAGAGAAAAGCATCAAGTTACATATATGGGAATTATCATCAGACTAACAATGGATTGCTCAGCAGAAACCTTGCAGACCAGGAGATAATGGAGAGATATATTCAAAGTACTGAAAGAAAAAACTTCCAGCCAAGAATACTTTACCTAACAATTCTATCCTTCAAAACTAAAGGAGAAATATAAAGTCTTTCCTTAAAAAGCAAAAACAGGTAATTCATTGCCACTAGACCAGCCCTACAAGAAATGCCCACGGGAGTTCTACATCTGAAAGCAAAAAGGAAGATATCTACCATTGTGAAAACACATGAAAGTATAAAACTCATGGGTAGAACATATACACAAATGAGAAAAAATCCAAATGTTATCACTACAAAAAACCTCACCTATTAATAACAACCTTGAATATAAATGGTTTAAATCCATTAATTAAAATACATCCTGATTGAATGGATTTTGAAAAAATTTAATATCCAACTATTTCCTGTCTACAAGAAACTCCCTTCACCTGTAAAGACACACATAGATTGAAAGTGAAGGGATGGAAAAATATTCCATATAAATTGAAACCAAAAGCATGCAGAAGTAGCTATATTTATGTTAGAGGAAACAGACTTTCTTTATATTTATGTTAGAGAGAAACAAACAAAGAAGGCCATTATATAATAATAAAGAGATCGATTCAGAAAAAGAATATAAAAACTGTAAATATATATTCACCTAGGAAGGGAGCAGCCCGATATATAAAGCAAATATTATTAGGGCTAAAAAGAGAGCTAGACTCCAGTACAGTAATAGTTGGGGACTTCAACATTCCACTTTCAGCATTAGACAGAGAGTCTAGACAGAAAATCAACAAAGAAACATTGGATTTAATCTGTATTATAGACCAAATGAACATAACAGACATTTACCAAATATTTGATTCAACAGTTGCAGAATACACTTTCTTCTCATTAGTAAACAGAACATTCTCCAGGATAGAATATATGTTAGGCCACAAAACAAGTCTCAAGAAATCTGTAAAAATCAAATTTATGCCAAGTATCATCTGAGAGCACAATGGAATAAAACTAAAAATCAATGACAAGATTTTTTTACTTTAGAAATACTACAAATGCATGGAAATTAAATAACATGCTCCGAATGACCATTAGGTCAATGAAAAAGGTAAAAGTAAAATAAAAAAAATTCTTGAAACAAATGAAAATGGAAACACAACATGCCAAAACCTATGGGATATAGCAAAAGCAGTGGTAAGAGAAAAGTTTATAACAATAAATACCTAGGTCAACAAAGTAGAAAAATTTCAAATAAACAACCTAATGGTATACCTCAAGGAACTACAAAAGCAAAAACAATTTCAACCCAAAGCTAATAGAAGAAAAGAAATAATAAAGACCAGAGCAGAACTAAATGACATACAGACAAAAAAAAAAAAAATACAAAAGATCAACCAAAGGTGGTTTTTTTGAAAAGATAAACAAAATTGATAAACTGCTAGCTACACTAACCAAGAAAAAAGAGAAACAACCCACATAAATAAAATAAAACAAAGAGAAAGGAGATATTACAACTCAGATACAAAAGATCATTAGAGACTGTTATGAACAACTATACACTAACAAATTGGAAAACCTAGAAAAATATGGGATACATTTCTGGACACATACAACCCACCAAAATTAAACCAGGAAGAAAAATTGAAAAGACCAGTAATGAGTAGTGAGGTTGCATCAGTAACAGCCTCTCAAAAAACAAAAGCCCAGGACCGAATGGCTTTACTCCTGAATTCTACCAAATTTATAATGAACTAACACCAATTCTTCTCAAATGATTCAAAAAAAAAAAAAAAAAATTGAAGGAGAAAGAATGCTTCCTATTCATTCTACAAGACCTGCATGACCCTGATACCAAAACAGACAAGGACATAACAACAAAAAAGAAAACTACTGGCCAATATCCCTGGTGAACATAGATGCAAAAAAATACTCTCAATATAATAGTAGCAAACTGAATCCAACAATACATCAAAAAGGTAATATACCATGATTAAGTGAGGTTTATCCCAGGGATGCAGAGATAGTTCAATATATGCAAATCAATAAATGTGATATATTACATTAACAGAATGAAGGACAAAAACTCTATTGTCATCTCAATAGACGCAGAAAAAGCATCTGATGAAACTCAATATCCCTTTATGATAAAAACTCTCAACAAAATAGGTATAGAAGGAACATGCCTCAACATAATAAAGGATATATATGACAGACTCACAGCTAATATTGTACTGAATGGGGAAAAGCTAACAGACTTTCCTCTAAGAACTGGAACAAGGCAATAATGCCCACTTTTGCCAACTTACTCAAAACAGTATTGGAAGTCCTAGCCAGAGCAATCAGGCAAAAGAAAGAAATAAAAGACATCTGAATTGGAAAAGAGGGGATTGAACTGTCCTTTTTTGCGATGATATAATCTTGTGTGCTAAAAAAACCCTAAATACTCCAACAAAAATGCTTAGAACTGATAGAATAAATTCAGTAAAGTTGCAGGATACAAAAATCACATACAATAATCAGTAGCATTTCTTTAAACCAATAACTAGGGGAAAAATAAATTGAGAAAGTAATCCTATTTACAATAGTTACAAAAAAGAGTAAAAATACCTAGGAATACATTTAACCAAGGAGGTGAAAGACGTCTACAATGAAAAGCATAAAACACTATGAAAAATTTTGAAGAGAACACAAATGGAAAGACTGCCCATGCTCATGGATCAGAGGAGTTAATATTGCTAAGATGGCCACACTATCTAAAGCAATTTAATCCCTATCAAAATACCAATGACATTCTTTACAGAAATAGAAAAAATAATCCTGAAAATTATAAGAAATCATAAAAGATCGTGTGATTATATAATGAAAGCAATCCTGAGCAAAAAGAACAATACTGGAGGCATCACACTACCTGACTTTAAAATATACTACAAAGCAATAGTAACCCAAACAGCATGATATTAGTATAAAAACAGACACATAGACCAATGGAACAGAATTAAAAACCCAGAAATAAACCCATGTATTTACAGCCAACTGATTTTTGACAAAGGTGCCTAGAACATACATTAGGGAAAAGATACCTTCTATAATAAATGATGGTGGGAAAACTAGACATCCATATACAGAAGAATAAAATTTAACACCCTATCTCTCACCATATACAAAAGTCAACTCCAAATGAATTAAGGCTTAAACATAAGACTCAAAAATATAAAACTAGTAGGAAAAAATCAACTCAAAATAAACTAAAGGCTTAAACATAAGACCCCAAAATATAAAATTCCTGGAAGACAGCACAGGGGAAAATGCTTAAGGACATAGGTCTAGGCCAAGATTTTATGACTAAGACTTCAAAAGCACAGGCAACAAAAACAAAAACAGACAAATGAGACTGTATTAAACTAAAAAGCTTCCATACAGCAACAGGAACAATGAATAGAATGAAGAGACAGCCTGTAGAATGGAAGAAAACGATAATGTTGGTGGAAATGTAAAATTAATAAAGCTATTATAAAAAATAATATGGAGATTTCTCAAAAAAAAACTACCACATGATCTAACAATTTCACTTAAGGGTATTTGTTTAAAGGAAGGGAAATCGGTGTATCAAAGGGACACCTGCATCTCCATATCTATTGCAGCACTATTCCGAACAGCCAAGATATGGAATTAACTTTAGTATCCATCAATGAATAAATAACAAAAAATAGTATATATCCGCAATGCAATACTGTTCAGCCATCAAAAACCATGACAACCTGTCATTTGCAGCAACATGGATGAGCCTGCAGGTCATTATATTAAGTGAAATAAACTAGTCATGTAGTCATTGTCTAACTCATCTGGGTATTATACAATTCTATAGGAGTATGCAACTTTGATTGAGTTTTTATTGACTAGGCTATTTTGCAACTTAATGGTAATAGAGATTAACGTATAGAGAAAAACTGGTATTAATGCAAGTGATTCTGGACTGAGAGAAATGCAAATTATTCCTGCCTACTGCAATAAACTAATTTGGTTTAGAATAGATGCAACTTATTTTTATCAGGTAGAAAAGGTAACCCCAAACATTACAGTTTATTGGCCTGTAGGATATTAACCAATTTTTTGTTTAGTAGTAAATTAATTTTATTATGCCTTTGACTATTCAAATATCTGGCCTTCAAATTCTCCTCTGAACCAGTCATACTGTTTCCTTCTTTAATTAATGAATTGAAAAAATTATTTGATTTGGGCGAATTTTATAGTTTTATGAAAGTCATGTTTTTAACTTTTAGAAAATCGTACTTTTGGGTCATTCAGGAGCATGGACAGCACCAACCACTCTCTCCAGCTGGAAATAGTCTCTTAAATTTCCATGACATTCCATTCTTCTAGTCTTTCTCCTACTTCACTGGGCCACTCTTTCTTGATTTTGTTTGCCAGGTCCTTCCCTTCTATTCATTATTTAGATATTGGGGTTCCTTCGGGCTTCACTAGAAGCCCTATTCTCTTTTTTATATTCTTTCTCTAGATGATTTCATCTACTCTCCTGCTTTCATCTACACACTGAAATGCACCAATTTGTATCTCTAGGTCAGTCCTCTTTCTACATATTCAGGTATCTACACAACAGGTCCATTTGAGTGATTTGTACTGCCTCAAATTTATTAGTGCTCAGAAAAAACTCTATTAATAATACACAAGCATATTTTAATAAAGATAGAAATACCACAATAATACTTTAATAATCTTGATGAAATATTCTGAGGCCATGGTGAAATATAATGAGGTATTTGTGCTAAAACAGACTACACATTTGTAGTGACTGGGATCTTCTTGTCTACCAGATTCTGTGTCTTCGTTTTCTGATGATATTGAATAAAAAATGTAAACATTTTGCATATTGATCTTCCTATTTCTGTAACTGAGGCAGACCACCTGCCTTCTGTATTCTTTGTTTAGACTGAAGAGTATAGTTGATAAAATTTTAATTCTTCCTCATATCAATTTTGTATATTAGGATATCCTTAAATCTCCTAAAACACATACTTGTAGATTTTTTTTTTAGCCTGGGTGACTATGAATTAATTAATTACATAATTAGGTAGAGTTAACTACCCTGAAGTAGCTAATCACTTCGCTACTTTGTGGGGTGGCTGAGACCTATCTGTTCTGATACTCATGAGGAACCAAGAAGTTTGTGGGAAATAACTCATCCCAAAGAAATACAGAGAGGTAGAGATGCCTGCACAGTGATATTGAAGAAGAGGGGTGATTCTGAACACAAATTTCACCTAGACTATACTCTGGCTCAATTTCTGTGGACTCATGACTGAGCTTGTAGAAGATAAAATTTTAATGAAAGAACAAGTTTAAAAAGCTGTTTTTCCTTACATGTCTCTGGGGCATCAAGCTGTTAGGCACCAGGAGTGGCATGGATGGTGGTGACAGCAGAACTGGCAAAGAAAGCAGTAACTTTAGTGGAAGCAGAGTTTGCTGCAGCTGTGGCTGGATGTCAGCGCTCTCGACATTGGACATAGTTACCCTTGATATTTATGTAGTGACCTCTTTTTCTGCAGGTAGGAGTAGTCTCAGCCTGGAATGCAGTGGCAGCAGCAGAAGCAGGTGCAGTGGTGTTTCTGGCAGGAGACACAGTTACTACTGTTGGCATCAACTGCAGCCAGGGTATTCATTGCAAGGATTCAAGACAAAGGAGGTATAGAATGCAGGAATGCAAGAAGTTGAGAGGCTTACTTCTCACCACACATAGGAGAAACCCTCTGGGAACCACAGCTCTACTGGTAAAATTTTAAGGGGGAGAGAGCAGTTCTTTCAGTGCACAAGAGGGTGGACCTTGAAAAACATTATTTGGCTGCTGATTTTCATGTTCCACCTCCAGGCTGGTATGACTTAGGAAACACAGGAAACAGGTACCATACCAGCAGCTACACCTTTCTGGCTGAAGTCACTCACTGATTCTGTTTGAGGGGCTAAGGCCAAGAAATCTCTGCTGCCAACACATGCTGCTTTGAGCTGCATTCTGCAATGTTCTGTCATTTCAGTGACCAATGTCAAGACCAATGTTTATGGAAGAATAAGAGTTGATGTCTTCAACAAGGAATGAAAATCTAAAATTTTCCCATACTAAACAGTCCATTCCACTCTGAAGGCCTGACACATGCATGGTGTCTTTCTGAGAAAAGCAGCTGCAGGGGGCGGGATTCCCTGGACACAGATACTCATGTTTTCTGCCATGTGACCCTGCCCCAGCCACAGTTAACTGGACTAGGGACTGATGCCTAATACAAACAAAAATAGCCCATTTAAAGGCCACGACAAAAATTTTCAGTAAGGATGGTCACTGGCTGAACTAATCAGATTCTCTCTCTGGGTGAGTTTGAAGGCCAGACATCCAGAAAGATTTGGCAGGGTGGAGTTGCACAGGATGAGAGAGACAGAGAGAAAGAAGGGGTTGATGTAGTCACTTACCATGAATAAGAAGAAGCCCAAAAACGAAGCAGATAAGAGTAGAGGGGGATATGGAGCCAAGATGGCCGAATAGGAACAGCTCCGGTCTACAGCTCCCAGCGTGAGCGAGGCAGAAGACGGGTGATTTCTGCATTTCCATCTGAGGTACCGGGTTCATCTCACTAGGGAGTGCCAGACAGTGGGCGCAGGTCAGTGGGTGCGTGCACCGTGCGTGAGCCGAAGCAGGGCGAGGCATTGCGCTTTTCCGACGGGCTTAAAAAACGGCGCACCAGGAGACTATATCCTGCACCTGGCTCGGAGGGTCCTACGCCCACGGAGTCTCGCTGATTGCTAGCACAGCGGTCTGAGATCAAACTGCAAGGCCGCAGCGAGGCTGGGGGAGGGGCGCCCGCCATTGCCCAGGCTTGCTGAGGTAAACAAAGCAGCTGGGAAGCTCGAACTGGGTGGAGCCCACCACAGCTCAAGGAAGCCTGCCTGCCTCTGTAGGCTCCACCTCTGGGGCAGGGCACAGACAAACAAAAAGACAGCACTAACCTCTGCAGACTTAAATGTCCCTGTCTGACAGCTTTGAAGAGAGCAGTGGTTCTCCCAGCACGCAGCTGGAGATCTGAGAACGGGCAGACTGCCTCCTCAAGTGGGTCCCTGACCCCTGACCCCCGAGCAGCCTAACTGGGAGGCACCCCCCAGCAGGGGCAGACTGACACCTCACACAGACCTGCAGCTGCGGGTCCTGTCTGTTAGAAGGAAAACTAACAAACAGAAAGGACATCCACACCAAAAACCCAGCTGTACGTCACCATCATCAAAGACCAAAAGTAGATAAAACCACAACGATGGGGAAAAAACAGAGCAGAAAAACTGGAAACTCTAAAAAGCAGAGTGCCTCTCCTCCTCCAAAGGAACGCAGTTCCTCACCAGCAATGGAACAAAGCTGGACAGAGAATGACTTTGATGAGCTGAGAGAAGAAGGCTTCAGATGATCAAATTACTCCGAGCTACGGGAGGACATTCAAACCAAAGGCAAAGAAGTTGAAAACTTTGAAAAAAATTTAGAAGAATGTATAACTAGAATAACCAATACAGAGAAGTGCTTAAAGGAGCTGATGGAGCTGAAAACCAAGGCTCAAGAAATACGCGAAGAATGCAGAAGCCTCAGGAGCTGATGCGATCAACTGGAAGAAAGGGTATCAGCGATGGAAGATGAAATGAATGAAACGAAGCGAGAAGGGAAGTTTAGAGAAAAAAGAATAAAAAGAAACGAGCAAAGCCTCCAAGAAATATGGGACTATGTGAAAAGACCAAATCTACGTCTGACTGGTGTACCTGAAAGTGACAGGGAGAATGGAACCAAGTTGGAAAACACTCTGCAGGATATTATCCAGGAGAACTTCCCCAATTTAGCAAGGCAGGCCAACATTCAGATTCAGGAAATACAGAGAATGCCACAAAGATACTCCTCGAGAAGAGCAACTCCAAGACACATAATTGTCAGATTCACCAAAGTTGAAATGAAGGAAAAAATGTTAAGGGCAGCCAGAGAGAAAGGTCGGGTTACCCTCAAAGGGAAGCCCATCAGACTAACAGTGGATCTCTCAGCAGAAACTCTACAAGCTAGAAGAGAGTGGGGGCCAATATTCAACATTCTTAAAGAAAAGAATTTTCAACCCAGAATTTCATATCCAGCCAAACTAAGCTTCATAAGTGAAGGAGAAATAAAATACTTTACAGACAAGCAAATGCTCAGAGATTTTGTCACCACCAGGCCTGCCCTAAAAGAGCTCCTGAAGGAAGTGGTAAACATGGAAAGGAACAACCGGTACCAGCCACTGCAAAATCATGCCAAAATGTAAAGACCATCGAGATTAGGAAGAAACTGCATCAACTAACAAGCAAAATAACCAGCTAACATCATAATGACAGGATCAAATTCACACATAACAATATTAACTTTAAATGTAAATGGACTAAATGCTCCAATTAAAAGACACAGACTGGCAAATTGGATAAAGAGTCAAGACACATCAGTGTGCTGTATTCAGGAAACCCATCTCACGTGCAGAGACACACATAGGCTCAAAATAAAAGGATGGAGGAAGATCTACCAAGCAAATGGAAAACAAAAAAAGGCAGGGGTTGCAATCCTAGTCTCTGATAAAACAGGCTTTAAACCAACAAAGATCAAAAGAGACAAAGAAGGCCATTACATAATGGTAAAGGGATCAATTCAACAAGAAGAGCTAACTTTCCTAAATATATATGCACCCAATACAGGAGCACCCAGATTCATAAAGCAAGTCCTGAATGACCTACAAAGAGACTTAGACTCCCACACATTAATAATGGGAGACTTTAACACCCCACTGTCAACATTAGACAGATCAACGAGACAGAAAGTCAACAAGGATACCCAGGAATTGAACTCAGCTCTGCACCAAGCAGACCTAATAGACATCTACAGAACTCTCCACCCCAAATCAACAGAATATACATTTTTTTCAGCACCACACCACACCTATTCCAAAACTGACCACATACTTGGAAGTAAAGCTCTCCTCAGCAAATGTAAAAGAACAGAAATTATAACAAACTATCTCTCAGACCACAGTGCAATCAAACTAGAACTCAGGATTAAGAATCTCACTCAAAACTGCTCAACTACATGGAAAATGAACAACCTGCTCCTGAAAGACTACTGGGTACATAACAAAATGAAGGCAGAAATAAAGATGTTCTTTGAAACCAACGAGAACAAAGACACAACATACCAGAATCTCTGGGATGCATTCAAAGCAGTGTGTAGAGGGAAATTTATAGCACTACATGCCCACAAGAGAAAGCAGGAAAGATCCAAAATTGACAACCTAACATCACAATTAAAAGAACTAGAAAAGCAAGAGCAAGCACATTCAAAAGCTAGCAGAAGGCAAGAAATAACTAAAATCAGAGCAGAACTGAAGGAAATAGAGACACAAAAAACCCTTCAAAAAATTAATGAATCCAGGAGCTGGTTTTTTGAAAGGATCAACAAAATTGATAAACCGCTAGCAAGACTAATAAAGAAAAAAAGAGAGAAGAATCAAATAGATTCAATAAAAAATGATAAAGGGGATATCACCACTGATCCCACAGAAATTCAAAGTACCATCAGAGAATACTACAAACACCTCTATGCAAATAAACTAGAAAATCTAGAAGAAATGGATAAATTCCTCGACACATACACTCTCCCAAGACTAAACCAGGAAGAAGTTGAATCTCTGAATAGACCAATAACAGGATCTGAAATTGTGGCAATAATCAATAGCTTACAAACCAAAAAGAGTCCAGGACCAGATGGATTCACAGCCGAATTCTACCAGAGGTACAAGGAGGAACTGGTACCATTCCTTCTGAAACTATTCCAATAAATATAAAAAGAGGGAATCCTCCCTAACTCATTTTATGAGGCCAGCATCATCCTGATACCAAAGCCGGGCAGAGACACAACCAAAAAAGAGAATTTTAGACCAATATCCTTGATGAACATTCATGCAAAAATCCTCAATAAAATACTGGCAAACCGAATCCAGCAGCACATCAAAAAGCTTATCCACCATGATCAAGTGGGCTTCATCCCTGGGATTCAAGGCTGGTTCAATATATGCAAATCAATAAATGTAATCCAGCATATAAACAGAACCAAAGACAAAAACCACATGATTATCTCAATAGATGCAGAAAAGGCCTTTGACAAAATTCAACAACCTTCATGCTAAAAACTCTCAATAAATTAGGTATTGATGGGATGTATTTCAAAATAATAAGAGCTATCTATGACCAACCCACAGCCAATATCATACTGAATGGGCAAAAACTGGAAGCATTCCCTTTGAAAACTGGCACAAGACAGGGATGCCCTCTCTCACCGCTCCTATTCAACATAGTGTTGGAAGTTCTGGCCAGGGCAATTAGGCAGGAGAAGGAAATAAAGGGTATTCAATTAGGAAGAGAGGAAGTCAAATTGTCCCTGTTTGCAGATGACATGATTGTATATCTAGAAAACCCCATTGTCTCAGCCCAAAATCTCCTTAAGCTGATAAGCAACTTCAGCAAAGTCTCAGGATACAAAATCAATGTACAAAAATCACAAGCATTCTTATACAACAACAACAGACAAACAGAGAGCCAAATCATGAGTGAACTCCCATTCACAATTGCTTCAAAGAGAATAAAATACCTAGGAATCCAACTTACAAGGGATGTGAAGGACCTCTTCAAGGAGAACTATAAACCACTTCTCAAGGAAATAAAAGAGGATACAAACAAATGGAAGAACATTCCATGCTCATGGGTAGGAAGAATCAATATCGTGAAAATGGCCGTACTGCCCAAGGTAATTTACAGATTCGATGCCATCCCCATCAAGCTACCAATGCCTTTCTTCACAGAATTGGAAAAAACTACTTTAAACTTCATATGGAACCAAAAAAGAGCCCGCATCGCCAAGTCAATCCTAAGCCAAAAGAACAAAGCTGGAGGCATCACACTATCTGACTTCAAACTATACTACAAGGCTACAGTAACCAAAACAGCATGGTACTGTTACCAAAACAGAGATATAGATCAATGGAACAGAACAGAGCCCTCAGGAATAACGCCGCATATCTACAACTATCTGGTCTTTGACAAACCTGAGAAAAACAAGCAATGAGGAAAGGATTCCCTATTTAATAAATGGTGCTGGGAAAACTGGCTAGCCATATGTAGAAAGCTGAAACTGGATCCCTTCCTTACACCTTATACAAAAATCAATTCAAGATGGATTAAAGACTTAAACGTTAGACCTAAAACCATAAAAACCCTAGAAGAAAACCTAGTCATTACCATTCAGGACATAGGCATGGGCAAGGACTTCATGTCTAAAACACCAAAAGCAATGGCAACAAAAGACAAAATTGACAAATGGGATCTAATTAAACTAAAGAGCTTCTGCACAGCAAAAGAAACTACCATCAGAGTGAACAGGCAACCTACAAAATGGGAGAAAAGTTTCGCAACCTACTCATCTGACAAAGGGCTAATATCCAGAATCTACAATGAACTCAAACAAATTTACAAGAAAAAAACAAACAACCCCATCAAAAAGTGGGCAAAGGACATGAACAGACACTTCTCAAAAGAAGACATTTATGCAGCCAAAAAACACATGAAAAAATGCTCACCATCACTGGCCATCAGAGAAATGCAAATCAAAACCACAGTGAGATACCATCTCACACCAGTTAGAATGGCAATCATTCAAAAGTCAGGAAACAACAGGTGCTGGAGAGGATGTGGAGAAATAGGAACACTTTTACACTGTTGGTGGGACTGTAAACTAGTTCAACCATTGTGGAAGTCAGTGTGGCGATTCCTCAGGGATCTAGAACTAGAAATACCATTTGACCCAGCCATCCCATTACTGGGTATATACCCAAAGGACTATAAATCATGCTGCTATAAAGACACATGCACACGTACGTTTATTGCGGCATTATTCACAATAGCAAAGACTTGGAACCAACCCAAATGTCCAACAACGATAGACTGGATTAAGAAAATGTGGCACATATACACCATGGAATACTATGCAGCCATGAAAAATGATGAGTTCATGTCCTTTGTAGGGACATGGATGAAATTGGAAATCATCATTCTCAGTAAACTATCGCCAAGGACAAAAAACCAAACACCGCATATGCTCACTCATAGGTGGGAATTGAACAATGAGAACACATGGACACAGGAAGGGGAACATCACACTCTGGGGCCTGTTGTGGGGTGGGGAGAGGGGAGGGATAGCATTGGGAGATATACCTAATGCTAGATGACGAGTCAGTGGGTGCAGCACACCAGCATGGCACATGTATACATATGTAACCTGCACATTGTGCACATGTACCCTAAAACTTAAAGTATAATAATAATAAAAATAAATAAATAAATAAATAAAAAGAAGAGTAGAGGGAACTAGTCTGAAAGGGTCAATAGTCTCAGAAGAAGTAAAAGCAGATAACTTGAATCACTACTAGGACAGCATATTAGAGTGGAGGCATTGTGTTCTGATGCCACTTTAAATCCTGTTCTAGTTCCTTGAAGCCTGAGTGAGCAGCTCTATTAAACTGTCAAATAATGTATTAGTTGAATGTAAATGAATAAGACCATGATAAAGTCAAGAGGGAAATCATAGTATTCAAGAGGTGGACCGTTTAATATGCAAATTGTCTTTTGTATATTTTCAGAAAATGCCCAGGATTTTTGTTTTCCGCTTATGTGAGAAAGTATTTATAGGTAGGACAGATAACCCACACTTCAAATATGTAATACATATATATCAGTATAAAACTCTTTCGTTATTTTCTGTCATTCTTATTTCAACGGGCATCCTTATATTTAACTACCACTACAAGGTTCTCATTTTCTCAGAACCTGAAAGAGGTGAATGACTGCTCATTTCACCAGGACTCTTTAAAATAAAATTCCATAACCGTGAGGTAACTTAAGTGTGTTCCTGTTCATGGCCACCTACAAAAACATAAGACAAAGGCGAAGAGGCAAGTGAACAGGTGGTAAGTTTGTGTTGCCAACCAGAAACTGCATGTACATATATGTTTGAATATATTTTCTAAAAGAATAAAGAATAACCAGCAGGAAGACCAAAATTAGTCTTTCATAGCCCACCTTCCTACTTGTAGTTTAAAGTTTGTTCCTCCTTTCCACATCTATGCTTTTCCTTGACAACAGCTTATACCATATGATCCGTATAAAGAGGGCAGCCGTCAACTGAGGGTCTAATGACACCTCACCTTCATGAGGTGCTGATGGATCAGGATGACCTGCTCACACCTCTCAGACATTCTGGAAAAAATAGAGTGTAAAAATAGAATGAACCACCAACTGTGTTCACAAGTTCTAATTTACCATGAGGACAAATGTTAGGCATTAAACGTCAACAGAGCTTCTGGTGATCCTCACTGAAGCAGAATGTCGATATAATTTAATAGAGTTGCGTTTAAAGATCATGCCTACAGATATTGTAATTTCTTTTAGCTGCCCAAAATACTACTTCCATAAAGTCAAAGTTTAATTCATTTCTTGACCAAATGATTCTAAAGTATATCTGGAAGACTAAGCAAGTAAGATCCACCAATAAAATCCTAAGGAAAAAATAACAGTAATTATTTCATAGTATAGCTTTGCCCCACTAGATATTAAATTGCTTTATGTAACTACAGCAATTAAAACTCTGTGATTTTGGTGTAGACCTCCAAACTGAGATATTTTTACATAATCACACCAAAAGGACCCTGCTATAGTATAAAAAACATTTCTTATTACCAAGAAATGTGTATTGAAAAAATTCTTGACCCTTATTCTATCTTTAACCCTTAAACCAATGAGGAAAAACTTTTACTTTGTTTAATACCACACTGTTGGCATATTAAAATTAAATATATATCAGTTTTACAGTCATATTAACTCAATAAAATATTTCAAAAGCCTGTAATAACTTAGCCTCCAATAATATATTTATTTTATCCTTATTAACTATGATTATAAATATAATATAATTAACATAATCATTGAACGTATTGAATAAATGGTCATCATTTATATGAGGTCTGAATATCCCCCCATTCCCACATCTACTGCTCCATTGTACCTACTTTGCATTCATTCAAATAGATTTAGAATAATGAGAAAGTCCACAAAAATGGAAATGTGTATCTTTTAGATTTTCAGTAAGTGCCATTAGTAAACAGTCAAATCATTCACTAATTGAATGTAAATGAACAAGATCATAGCCACATCAAGAGAGAAATCACAGTATTGAGGGCCAGACCATTTAACATGTAAATGAGAAAAACTCTCAGAAGATGCACAGATTTCTTTGCTTACTTGACTTCTCTGATGAAATATTCATGAGTAGGATAGATAAAGCATATTACATATAAATAGGTAATAGGTTAGGCCAGTATAAAACTTTTTCGTTATTTTCTTGCTTGGGTCATGAGGGAAGGCTACATGCTGGTTTACAAAGTGGATATTTTACCAACTCAGAAAGAATAGTCCTTCTCTCAGTAATCCTGGAAAATGATTACTTTTGGAGCAGAAAATGAGTGTGGAGAGGCCTAAAGAGCTTTGTTTGTGAGTATGGGGAATGTGAGGGAGAACGGTCCAGCAGTAGGGTGGTGATAAAGACAGACATGGAGCAACTGGGACATGGAAGTTCCGTATTTTGCATATGGAAGTTACTATGAGAAGAAAAATAGTGCAGCATGTGGGCAGTCAGTCTCTAGGCAGCAAGTCATGTTCAGCCACTGTGGATTTCTCTGGTCTTAGGAAGTACATCTGGATTTCCCATTACTAATGATTTGAGAGCAGCCAGGGATGAGCCCAGGTCTTGTGAGAACTCTGTTCTCTCCCTGGAATGGACAAAGGCATCGTAGGGGACATCAGAAGAGGGTGACGATGGACAGAGTTGGCTCAGGGAGTAGATGAGGGAATCTATTTTACATAGTACTCATGTGTGATTTATATGTATCATTGCTTTTTAGTCTGTATGGAAGCATCATCACTAGAAAACAATAATATCAATATTGACACATTCAAATGGCTGCTACAAAAGCATAACATCAAAATTTCATGTACCCTACAGAAAAATGAAACAGAATATGTGACGTTTTTATTTTATTTTGGTTTTGCCACAAAGCCCTTTACTCAAACAAAATCCAACAGAGAAGTCCAAAGTTTGTTAAAAAATAAAAGCTGGTCTGGTAAAAGGAGGGCTGGGAGACCTAGTCTTCGTGCTTATAGCAGACTGATCCTCTCCCCTAATTCCTCTAGATCCACATTACAAAGGATCTAAGGAGCCTTCAGAACTCTGCAAGTTAATATGGAAAAAAAAGTCACTGGAACTGAGTCTAGAAACAGACCTAAGGATACTTGGGAATTCACTTACTCAGTGGTATTTCAGATAAGTGGGAAAGAACACACAGAATAAATATATAAGGAGAAGGAGCCAGGGAAAAATCTGGAAGAAAATATATCCAAATATTAGTTTGTATTTATTTTTTGATTATTTAAAATTCGTTTGGAAAATTATCAGTGATTCTTAACTTTTTGCTCTCTATCTTTCCATATGTTATTGTGTTATTTTTATTACACACAAAGAAGAAAAGGTAGATGGAAGAAAAGCCAGAGTGTAAAATGAGTCAGTTTGAGGCAAATTTGAGAACTCCTTAGCGACTGAAATATGAAAGAGATAAGGTTCCAAGTGTGAATGAAATCAGCAGCTTACATTTATCCCACATTTGCTCATTCTCTGCTCATGCAGCCTTCAGCATCCAGGGCAGACAAAGGGCGGTAACTGTTGGTGACGGGCTCTTTGTCAGCCCTGGTCTCTGTGGAAACAAGGTGAAATGGGAAACAGCATATTTTAGTATTTAGGCTGCAAATTCATCAGAAGTGAAAAGCCTGGTGCTGTGTCTACATATTACATTTTGTCAAGTCTTTCCTTTTGTAAGCACTTTCTCTTTTGATGGGTAATATTTTTTCAATTTTTAAACAAGTTGGGTTTTTTTTTTTTTTCACTCTGTGAACAACCAAGAGAAGGAAAAGCTAAAGTAGTACCTGTTTATTTGTCTTCCTAGGCTGAAAGCAACATCTTGCAGAATTACCACAGAACCATTTCCTCTAGACACCACGTTACAGAATAAATGGAGATAATTAGAAATAGTCAATGTGCTAATTTTTCAGTATTTGTTTAATGCAACTGCACATTGGTGCCTTTATTGTGCTTGCCATCAAATTGCCCTGGGGTACCATTCTCAGAGGCAAAGGCAGATGATGTTTCATGTTAGTTTATTTTCTGTAGCTCTCCCGGTATTGGACGTGAAGTGGTTCAATAGGAATGCTTTCCAGCTGCTGCTGCTGCTGCTGATGCTGAGGAAAGAAGCCACCACTGCGAACCTGCTAACAGGGAAACACATTGGGTCACCCTTCTGTCAGGCAGTTATTCTTCCTGCCAAAGAAGGAATTTAAAATCCTCATGTCTGTCCACAGAGAATCAATTTTGGCCCAGAAAGAAGAGTTACCTATGAGGAAGACAGAAGGAATGATGGTACAATTAGTCAAGCTGTCCTTTAGCATCTTGCTGAACCTAAAGGAGGGAATCAGAATTTTTTATGGAAATCTATTGGTAAACTCAGTACTTCGAGCATTTTTGGTACAAGCAAAGACTAAAAGCTATCTGAGTATAATTGTTGGGAGTCTAAAGCGACAGAGGGGACATCAGAGAGCAGATTGTCTTGGATACACAAGAGAGTTCCCAGAACTTGGAAGAAGAGAAATCCCAGCTGGGCCAGCACCTTTCCCTTGTATATTCTGGTTAAGGGTCATCAGCATTTCCTTGGTGACAGGAGCGGAGGCAGATTTCAGAACTCACTGTGTATCTTTTCAGCATGTTGAATAAACTGCGTATTGTTCTCTTTCACACTGCTTTTTCAGGGACTCTCAGAAAACACATTCACTAATAGCTAAGGAATCTGTTAGGTATTATAAAATCATATAGCAATGACTATTATTTTTAAGTACAGATTTTATAAAGATATTTTATAGTCTTTATTTGTAGTTATAGTGGTCCTTCAAAGTACATTTTTTGGAACCCCAATTAGGGTGAAGAAAGTGAGGCATTCACCACAGGGGCAAGCAACATTTAATGGGGAACCAAAAAAACCCAGCACTCAATGTAAATAATATTTTAATGAAATATTAAAAAAAAATTAATGCCAAGCTTTCACAAAGCATAAACACCATAATTTTAAATAAAAACAGGCTGTTTTGTTCTACAACTCTGTGTTATTGTGCAACAGGAACAGTCATTTCCAATCAGCAGCATGCCCCACCAGCCAGTTTATTAGGGTTGATAATGTCATGCAAACAGATTGGGCAATGCAGAGCTTTAAACAGAAGTCATGATTTGTCCCTGAAAAGCTCCAGTTAACTATTCCCATTTGATTCACAATAAAGGGGGCTATTTTGATAACGTATATAGGAACACGCAGTCTTCGTTTTGTTTCAGGCTCCGACATGGCTCAGCAGGGCATCCCAGTTTATTAGTGACATTTTCATGAAGCTTAGAGAAGTGAGCTAACTTGCCAAGGTGATGGAAGCTAGTGAGTGTACAGGCTGGAGTTCCATCCCGGCTCATATCGCCTTGCTAACCATGCCACATCACATGTACCATGGTCAACTATGTTGGGCCAACATTCCTTCATATTATATTTGAGATTCTGACTCTCTAGTGGGAAAATCCATGTAAGGAGCATGTCTCAAATATGCAGAGCTTCCCAGTGGGTATGGTGGGCCTCAGAGGCACCAGTCCTGTTAACCTTGGAAGCAGCTGGACAAGGCCTAGGTCGCTGGTGACTTGTTTTCCTCTGACACAAATCCTTTACACCTCGAGGCATTGTAAAAATAAAATTATGTCTACCTATCTATTTATCTGTCTATGCACATACACCATGATGTTGAAAAGGCTGGAATGTATAGAATGCTGTCATACCCACTTTCATTTCTATTTGAGAGCTCTAATTCTTTTTTTTTTTTTTTTTTTTTGAGACGGAGTCTCGCTCTGTCGCCCAGGCTGGAGTGCAGTGGCGGGATCTCGGCTCACTGCAAGCTCCGCCTCCCGGGTTCACGCCATTCTCCTGCCTCAGCCTCCCAAGTAGCTGGGACTACAGGCGCCCGCCACTACGCCCGGCTAATTTTTTGTATTTTTAGTAGAGACGGGGTTTCACCGTTTTAGCCGGGATGGTCTCGATCTCCCGACCTCGTGATCCGCCCGCCTCGGCCTCCCAAAGTGCTGGGATTACAGGCGTGAGCCACCGCGCCCGGCCAGAGCTCTAATTCTTTAACATTCCCTCTGTACTGCTCTCCTGCCCTATCCCAGTAGATTAGAACTGTAATGTTCTGATTTGGCAATTTGAAGCTAGTGATTTCTATAATTATTACATCATTCAGAATATCTTAATTCCTCCTTTCATTGCCTCTTGTAGTATCTGTGTACAATTTTATCTCCTTCATTAAAACTATACAACACTTCTTTGCATGGTTGGACCTTGTATTGTCTCCTTGTACATCTTCTTCCTTCTCCCTCTTCAACTCCAGTGTCTCACATAGTTCTCTGCACAAATTGAGTGCTTAACAAATGTTAATCAAAGTAAGAATCAGAACAAGGAAGTGTTTCTCTGTGTCCTCCTAAGGGGATATGTAGGGAACATGTAAACATGTACAGAACTATTTGGAATCCTTAAACTCTAAAGATCCAGTCAACGATTCCTTGTCATTATCTTTGTATTAGCTACTTCAAAAATAATAATTTATGTCATAAGAATGTATAACTTAGATAATACAAAAACAATAAAAAATTAAGTCCAAAACTAAACATTGACTTAGTTGCTAAAACCATTATTCAAATGACAATCGCCCTCCATTAAGGTGCCCTGTTGAGAGATGATACACACAAAAGGGTTCACTATATAAGGTGCCATTTTAACATGAAATGTATTAGCAGTAATTTAAAACATTGCTTGAAGTTACTTTATACAACTGCAGCATGCTTTCTAATTTGATTTCCATGAGGTTGTGATATGCTGGTAAAGGTAAACTAGCTTGAGGGTTAACATACTCAAAGGAGAAGAGCAGGTTGTATTATTAGCTCTGCTTACTATGGTGTTTTGGTTTTCTTTTGTTTTTAAAATCAAGACTTTCTCTTATTGCATACCTCAGTGGGAGTATAGTTGCTTAGTAACCCTGCACTGACTGGGGGCTGTTGCTCTCAGAGCTATACCCGGGAGGAACCTGCGTGTGAATGAGACGGCTGTCAGCAAGCCTACACTCAAAGGATTTACCCGGTGCAGAGAGCTCCAAGAGAACACCAGAGCCCCTGGTATTCTGGTTCACTTGAATTTGTCCTCCTGCCTATTCCATATTTTTTTCACACATATAATCATTTGTTTGCAGTCCGGAAATATAAAACCATTCAAGAAACGGAGGCCCAACTATTGGTAAGAAACTTCTAATCCACATTCGGTATCTCACAATGTGTGTGGTAAGCAACTAAGTGATTTATCTTGCTCTCCTATGTCTGTTTGCTTCCTAAGTTGTGTGTCCTTCCCGTTGGATGGAATCCATCTGTTGCTCTGCTTACAGTGTGCTATGAGCATTTGAAGTTCAATGCTAATAGAGAGGAGACACTTTTTAAAAAGTTCCTTTTTTTCTAGGTTTTTTTTTTGTCCAGCAATTCAGCAATTATTATGTTAGAAATATCAAATAATAATTCAGAAAAATAAAAAACAATGGAGGCCACCATTATTGTGGGCTTACTGTGGGTGAGGCACTGTATTTTACATGTACTGTCTCATTTGGTGGTCATAACAATTCGCTGTTGTATGTGTGTGTTTGTGTGTGTGTATGTTGGGAGGGAGGTCCTATTATTATCTCAATTTTACAGATTGGAACCTGCAGCTTAGAGATGTAAAGTCACCTTCGAGGACACACAGTTAGTGATTTGCAGAGCTAGGATTGAAGCCAGGAAATCTTAATCACGATGCCAAACTATGTTGTTAAAATTACTTTAAATTACTTAGTTCAGCGAAAGGTAAGTTGTTTATAGCACACACTGTTAATACATGCCATGTAACGGTCCAGTATGAAAATCCAAATAACTCAACTGTTCTCTTGGAAAGATGCTCAGAATAAAAGAGCCTCTGGCTGTTGTTCATCTCAAAAAAAAAAAATGTGGTTCAGCAAGGAGGTTAAGAACACTATCACTTTGCAATAACACGATATCACTTTATGGCAGAATTCTGGGTCATCGGAATTTTCCCTGGATCATTAATAAAGCACTGCTTGTCCAGACAACCCATGTTTATTGGTCCCTCTGAGGGAGAAAAGAAAAAAGGAGGGGAAAGGTCGTAGAGATGTGTGAAAGAGGACCTTAGGGAAAGAGACCAATCAGGGCTTCTCTCTGTCCTGGTGGAAATGAGTTCCAGCTCCTTTTTTGTTCCTGCTCTAAGTTACTTGGCATCCTTTTCTTCTCTCTCTTGTTTCTATTAACCTCCCTCAGGGCAGAATGATAGTCACAACAGCCAATTAGGGAGACACTGAAGGAAGAAGGTGCTCCACAGCTCCTTCATTGTCCACAGAGAAACAATCACCTCAGTGGGAAGGTGGTTTTAATTGGCCCTATTCCTTTCTTTTCCTCCCCTTCCTCCCCATCAATACCCTCTCAATCAAGTTCCTTGGCCGAAAGCTAGTGAGTTACCGGGGAACCAGAAAAGCACTAATAAGCTACCACTCAGGTGGTTTGAATTATCGTACAGGCAAGTATTCTTCTGGGATTTGCTAGCTCTCGTTTCTAAGCCCCATATGTACAGCAGTGTTTCCAAGGTGAGCACCTTGGACCACCTGCATCAAGGTCACCTGGGAGCTTGTTAACAAGGCAGATTCCTGGGCAAGGCCCCAGATTCTTGCAATCAGAATCTCTGAGGGTGATACTGGGAAGTCGGCATTTTTAACAAGCTCTCCTGGTTGTTCTGGAATACATCATAGTTTGAATACATCATCGTTTGAAAACCACTGCCTTGCAACTTGCAAAGTGCTTTTACATACAACACTAGACTCAAACATCAAATTCTTCAGAGGTTTATTTTCTTATTCCCCTTTTTGTGTTGCTGTTATTTTCCTCTCTAATCGGTCTAACATCTCAAAATCAGTAGGTCTTCTGTTAAGAAGACTGAATAAGCCAGAGTCAATTTCTCTGCCAAAGATGACAATAAAAAGAAAATAAAACAACCATTAAAAACCATTTAAGATGGGAAGTCAGATGACTTCTGGGGGGACCCAGCATGGAAGAACTTAGTCTTAACTGACTCTGCATAATTTCTGGAGCAAGACTGAGTTCAAACCCTACTTTGTCACTTTGCCTCAGCTTCCTCGTCTGTAAAATAAGGGTAATAAAGCACTTACCTTATAGAGTTGTTGTTAGGGTTAAATGAATTAATAAAGGTAAAGTGCACAGGATGACTTTAAAGGGAGGGTTGTGGAGGGGGTCTCCGATTTTTAAACAACCAGATCTCACGTGAACTAACTGAGCAAGAACTCGTTTGTCACCAAGGGGATAGTGGTAAACCATTCATGATGGATTCATCCCCATGATCCAGACACCTCTCACCAGGCCCCACTTCCAACACTGGGAATCACAGTCCAACATGAGATTTGGAGGGGACACATCCAAACCACAGCACCTTCTTTCTAGAAACAGTTCAGTACTGAGACAGTGCACGTGTAATCCTATTCCTCAGGAACATGCTTGCATATGCTTTTGTTGGACACTCACTAAACAGCTACAATGTAGGGGTTATTATACTACCCACTGGAAAGTATAGGCCAATTAAGATAGAGGACCATCCCTTACAGAGCCCACATGCTACTTGAGGATCAGGTACACACATACATACATGATGATAATGGATGTGGGGATAAGAGGATGTGGATTGGTAGTTGAGGGACATAAATGCAGTAATAGGAGATGCAGACAAAATGGAAAAATTAAACAAATCAACTCTCCTAGACAGGGGAGGGGAGGCTTTTTCAGGTAAGACTTCCCACAGAAAATGATGTTTAGGCTTAGTCTTGTGGGATATGTAGAAGTTAAAAATATTAACTATTTCCTATGTGCCAGGCACTGCTCTGCATATTTTACACATTAATGCATTTAAGGCCAACAACCTTGTGAGCCTAGTTAGCCACTACCATTCTTTTACTGGACAAGAGAAAACTGAGGCACTGAGAGATTAAGTACTTTGCCTAAGGTCACACCACTAATGAAGGCGCAGAGCCATAATGGGTGGCAGTTTTGCTCCAGACTCTGTAATTCTCACTTTCAGGCAAGATAAAGTGTGCAGAGGTGAAAGAGCTCTGAAGTGGGGACACCCCAAAAGTCTGCATTGGATGGAGAGACGTGGCAGGATGTTAGGCTATGTAGCCAAGGGGGAACCCGTCATGAAGGGAGTCTGAGGTCCCCCTGGGAATGAACTTTTTTCTGTGGATAGTGGGTCGCCACAGGAAGGAGAGGGGCCCGATCAGATTGTTATAATAAAGTCAATCTGGCCTAGGCCAAGAGAAAAGGCCAGAAAAAGGAGACACTCTGGTTTTGTATAAAATTAAAACCGCCAATATTTACTGCCACTTTTTCTTTCCAAGATACTAAGAAAAAACCCAAACCTTAAATAGCAGAAAAGATACAGCTGCTCTGGCCTATATGCAGAATCCTTTACTACTATCTTCTGCATGATATACATCTGTGTTTACTCAAGTCCCAGATTTAATTGGATTTAAATAAGAATCTGAGCACAGTCACCCAGAAGGCCTGACATAAATAGAAGAGTATCAAGGGGTCGGAGAAGACACATCCTGTCTGCTTCTATAGAAAGCAGATTCAAGGATTCCCCACCTGCGTCTTCTTCCCCCTCCTGGTAAAGAGCTGCTCCTCATGTCACTAAGCAACAAATGGGCACTTGGGGAGTCCACATCTCATCACTCCCACTCCTTCTCTCTCCTCAAGAAGCCAACTAAATGCTATGGTTTGGATTTATTTCTCTCGTTATCTTTATCAAGCATGATAAAAATGCTTTGTTCTGCTTTTGGCTCTCACAAAGAGCCTGTTTCATCATCAACATAACTGTAAAGCTAAAATATGGTTGGGACGTTTGCCATCATTTTGCAGGTTTAGGTTGCCAGGCACACTTGCAGAACTTAATTCTTTGTTTTCTAACTACAGTTGCCTGCCTGCTTTTCGAGGAAGTTCTTAGTAGGTGAGAAGTGACCCAGGTATTGTGGCCTCATGATCTGAGCATAAAGGCCTCATATGCTCAGGGTTAACTAGGTCTCTTTTATTCATGACAGTATATTATGCTTTGAAAAAACATAAAAATAATTAAAATATTAGCCTCTAATTCTGCCACATAAAATAAGACTAATTGTTGCTAAAAGAGTGAAATTGAACTGTATGTGGCGACAGTATTTTTCCCTAATACTACCACTCCAGAAGTGTAGTATTAAGGAAAATGGAATTGTCCTCTGAGAACTAAACTATAAACTACATCATTGTTCAGATGAGAGATATGCAAAATCGCCCTAAGAAACATAGGGACTCACGGGTGAGCAAGATGAGACTCATTTGATTGAGAATATTCATATATCTAAAGACTTAATGAATTAATTAGCTTGTGGATGGTGGAGCACAAATCCAGCCGAGTCACTGGGGCAAATACTGGCTGTGGCCATTAGGAACTGTCCATTAGAGGCTGTGTCTTTTCAGACTCCTCCCAATATTCACTTGTAGAGGAGGCACCCAGCTATCACAGCCTGATGCCCCTAAACATTTGAATCATGCAATTAACTCCTCTCCGCTCTGATTCCATCTCTACCAGTAACTTTCTGATGACAATTTGGCTTTCTGTGTGATCTACCCGTGGGAAGAATACAAGTGTTTGGCTACCTTGGTTGTTATTGATTCTCAGTGAAAATTAACAGTTGCTATGCTGTGTTAGAGACTTGAACCTCCTAGGGCTTAGTCAGCATGAATTAGCACCCACTAATTGTCAGGGTTTGATAAGATGAGGCATCTGGATGTGTCAGGCTGTTGGCAGGAAGATAACTGATTCAAGTGGTGGCTCTTTGTGAGACCTTGACAGCCACACAAGGCTTTCTTGTGACCCGTATGTAGATTTCCCACCTTCTGGGCTTCAATTCCATTCCAAGATCTGCCCATCTAAGAAGTCAGAAAATCCTAGGAGCTCTCATTTATTGCCATTCCTCATACTTTGTTTTTAGGGTTTGCGTCCTCATCTGCCTTTCCAGACCAGCAGTTCCCAAAAGCCAGTGTGAGAACCATCTGCATCAGAGTGACCAGTCTGTGAAGATCAAGCATAGGAATGCCAGGACTCCACCCTACATGTCCTTTATCTGGGGTGGTGCCCAGGTATCTATTTATCATGCTCTCTGGGTAATTCTGATAAGGAGCCACATTCCAGAATCCCTGTCTAGATAAGTAGTTCTCAAAATTGGCAACGCGATAGAATCACTCTTAGAAAATGTTAATGCCCAGGCTTTACCCCAGAATAATTAAATCCTAGTCTTTTTTTGGAGGTGAGACGTGGGCATGGGTGTTTGTAAAACACTCTCTAGGTGAGTCTAATGTATTGTGAGTGTTGAGAACTTTTGGCTCAGAACTGTGATTCTCAAAGTGTATTACCTGGAAACTTAAAATGTAAATTCTCAGATTAACTAGACCCTCTAAAGCAGCAACCCTGGGGAAGGGTCCCAGCAATCTGTGGCTTAAACCTCTCTAGGTGATTCTGAGGCTTCATTGGCTTAGACTGTTTTGCAGAGCCTCCTCATTGACTTTCTGTGGCTAGTCTCTCTTTTCCCAGATCCGTCCTCCACAATAAAAATATTTTTGCCTTGTCACCCCACACTCAAAAGCATCCAGTGGCTCCATACTGCCTGCAGACATCCTTTGCCTGGCATTCATGCCTTCACTGGTCTACCCCAACCCTAGGCTTCAGTTCACTAGCAGAATAGGAGAAACCAGGCTTGCTGATCCCTAGACAGTGGTTTCCCATTTTGCTTATGCTGCTCCTTTGGTAAAAATCCTGGCCAGGCGTAGTGGCTCATGCCTGTAATTGCAGCACTTTGGGAGGCCAAGGTGGGCAGATCACCTGAGGTCAGGAGTTCAAGACCAGCCTGTACAACATGGTAAAACCTCATCTCTATTAAAAATACAAAAATTAGCCTAGTGCAGTGGCATGCACCTGTAATCTCAGCTACTTGGGAGACTAGGGCAGGACAATTGCTTGAACCTGGGAGGTGGAGGTTGCAGTGAACTGAGATCACTCTAGTGCACTCCAGCCTGGGTGACAGAGTGAGACTTCTTCTCAAAAAAAAAAATCCTGGAGAACAGGGAGCATGTTTGCAAATGCCACAATCCCTAACCTGGCATTGTTCACAGAAAAGGAAGTCCTTACACATTTGCAGTGTATGACTGTGCAAGTGTATGAGTGAGTGAGAGATTTTGTGCTTGTCTTTAACGCGCCTCTACATAATCTATCGCAGGTTCTCCATTCAGCCTGGAGAACAACTCACCTGAACCTTTTTTGTTTGTTTTTAAGCACTCAAGCCCATCAGGGCATGTGCAATATTCTGTTCCCACATTAAAACAATCAGTCTGGTATGAAAAGTTCCTTAGAGATGGGTGATTGGAAGGAGGCAGGAGGGGACTCCTGGGGTATGGATAACGTTTAATTTCCTGATGGGGGTGCTGGTTACATGTGTTCTCTCTACAGGAATTTATTACACTAAATACAATAATTTAAATTTTTCTGCCTGTATGTCTTACTTCAATACAAAGTTACAAAAAATCTTTTCATGCAGTTGTTCTCCAGCTTCTCAAATTCTAATTCGACCAGAGCTTATCAAGCATTGGTGATGTGCCAAGAACAGGGCTGGTTGCTTTCATATTTTATTTGATTTTTACCTTCATAACTCTGTGAAGTGGGAACTGGCATTATTGCTTTTTACTCATGAGGAAGTGAGGCTTGCAGAAATGAAGAAACTTACCAAGTTCACACAGGTGGCCAGTGTCAGGATAAAACTGGAATCTAGTTATCGTATCACAAAGTGCTACAGTTTTCTTTCCGCTCCACTATGACTCTTCAAGAGAAGTCTTTAAATGGAGTGTATGAATAAAAAATTACAATGATTTTGTTTTTTATTAGAAATCATCAAAGAAAACATTAAGTTGCCTTCTTAGTTTTCTTTCCTTTTCTTTTCTTTCTTTCTTTCTTTTTTTTTTTTTGTGAGACGGAGTTTTGCTCTTGTTGCCCAGGCTGGAGTGCAATGGCGCTATCTCAGCTCACTACAACCTCCACCTCCCGGGTTCAAGCGATTCTCCTGCCTGAGCCTTCCCAGTAGCTGGGACTACAGGTGACTGACACCACGCTTGGCTAATTTTTGTATTTTTAGTAGGGACGGGGTTTCACTATGTTGGGCAGGCTGGTCTCAAACTCCTGACCTCGTGATCCCCCCTCAGCTTCCCAAAGTGCTGGGATTACAGGCATGAGCCACTGTGCCCGGCCCTTCGCCTTCTTAGTTTTCATTCCAGATATTTTGTTTTCCTTTGTCTCTTTGCTAAGATGGAAACTGATCACTAGTTTAAGGCAGGTTTAAATGTTGGGCAGTTGAAGCATTGTTTAAAAGTACGGCAGAGTCCTGGAGGTCCCTTCAGCGCCAAGAGGACCCTGGAGGTCCTGTCTGCATCTTCCCTGCCAGATTTCAGGGGGAGAGGCCAGAAAAGCCAGGGTGGTAAGAAAGGAATGTGGAGGTTTTGGGCAGTGGCTATTTAGTAACTGCTGTAGAAGTATTTCAATAGTGCAGCTCCTGGTTTAGGCTGTGCTGCTGTGTGCAAGGAGAATACCAGCCCTGGGGTGAGTTGAACCTAAAGTAGAATATCGTCCTGCCCTGCATACACACCTTTGATGATAAGAGACTTTTCTCAAGGAAGAGTCTTGGCTTTACAATTGGCCATCTTGACAGTAACTTATAATTTGTTAAGAATTCACGCTGATTTTTCTTCACTAATGTCTACAGGCTTCCCGATTATTCTACCAACTCTACCAAATCCTTGTTCTTCGTTGCACAATTAGCTGTGAAACAGACAGAGGTTACCTACAATAAGGTAAGTGTGAAAAGGAGTCCTTCTGCCTATGAGTGTAAGGCAAGAAACAAGAAGGAAAAAAAAGAGAAATGGTGTAGAGTAGAAAGCAACAAGCAACTGACACCAGGAAAGGTCTCCTGTGCCCCACAGTGTATTAATCATTTTTATACATTTGGTGCCACTGTTACATATTGCTTTAATAACAGAATAAGTGCTGAACATGAAACAAAATAAAATTGTTTAAGACTAAGCAATGGAAAAGGATTCAGGCCTGTGAGCTCAATCCAGCGTTGTTCCCAGTTAACTTACTTGGCAATCAAGAATAGTATATGACATCTCTGCTGTCTCAAAACTCCCACATAGTACATAGTTTGGAATGCTTAGAAAAAACTGGCCTGGTCCCCAACGAAACCCACATGTTACTACTGATTTTCTTATATCCTCCAGTCACCAATTAGAAATTAGAATAAAAACAACAGAAAGCAATTTAAAAAATGGTCCTCCAGACGAAGTAGACCATGTGGCTGCTTACTTCACATTGATTCTTGCTTTCCTTTTTCTAAGAAAACCTTAAATTTCATTCGAGTGTGTACCTCACCCCCACTTCAGAGGGAATCTTGATTAGTTAGCTAGCACCATCCAATAGAAATATAGGAAGCCATATAAGTAATTTAAAGTTTTCTAGCAGTCACATTTTTAAAAAAGTAAAAAGAAACAGGTAAATTAATTTTAATAATGTATTTTATTTAATCTAATATATCTGAAATACATTGTCAATATAATCAGTATAGAAATTATTAATGAGCTATATTACATTTTTTTCATATTACGTCTTTAAAATCCAGTGTATCTTTTTCACTTACAGTGCATGTCATTTTGGACTAGCCATATTTCAAGGGCTCAGTATGGCTAATGGCCACTATATTGGACATCGACGGTCAAACCCATTTTACATTCCCCTGACAACTATGATTGGTGTGAGGCCTATGATGGCCCAACTAGGCTGACAGCAAAGATCTTTCCTGTTGGCAAAGATCATCTTTCTCTCTCCTGCTGGCAAGAACAAGAAAGAATAAAGGTCTGATCAACCCATGAGCTTTCTTGGGATTTATGAGGAGAACCAGACTTTGGATGAAACTGACATTGAAATGAGCAGGATGGAGAGAAAAATCCTAGGGGTTTGGTGACAATACTGGGCTGCTGATTAAACTTGGAGTTTGCCCTGACTCTGAACTTTCTATTTAGTGAGATAATAATTGTCTCAATTGTTTAAGCTAGCTTGTGTTGCTTCCAGCTAAAAGAGTGCCAGCTATATACAATGTGCAAGCTGACATGTTGTCATGCTCTGACACTGATGAACACACCCCCACAAGGCTGTGAAGTAGTAGGGGAAGAACTAACCTGCATGGAGTTGGAAGGGGGGGAAAAACAAAATCAAACCATATGGAAAGCAGTTGAATTCACTGCATTAAATATACTTTTTAAAATGTACAACATAATAGCCATATGTTTAAGTCAGAATCATCTGCAAAGCACGCATGTTCACTTTCTGTTCCAGAGTCAGGCGTCTGAATTCTGTGAGCAAAGCCTAGAGAAAAAAAACTAAGCCTATGCCAGATTTACAGGAATAGTTATCTTTATAAAGACTATATGAACTGTAATACAAAGTTACAAAGCTGAAGGCAAAGCTTTTCAATAAAGCAAGTGGCTCTCAAAGAGATACCTTCAAGAGTGTGGTTCTATGTTTCCCACCTAGTGCTAAGTAAAACATACATTTCAATTAGAATTAGAATGTACTTCAGGAAGTAAATTATTAAATGACCTAGCACATTTTGATGTTTTTAAAAGCCCAAACTCCCAGCTGTGGAGAACAATGAGTCTTTAATGATAATTTATTCCCCTCTTGTTCCCATGATTGCTAGATAGCTGGGGGCCCTAGATACTTATTGGGCTCCAGGGACCCAATGTGGGCATTGTCAGAGGAGGATACCAATTAGCAGGTTTGGTTTCACAAAGAAGCAAAGATTGCCCTGAGGTGAAAAACTCTGTCTCAGAGAAAACACCCTTGAACTTGAATTGTCTTTTTTGCTCATCATTAGAAGTCAGCAAAGGATTTAGCCTCTCCCTCACCAATTCATTATCCACACTCTTCAGAAAAAAAAAAATAATAATAAAATAAAATATTTTCTCTTATTATGAAGGTGACAATAAAGACAGTAAGCTTACCACATGCAGAAAAGAGAGTGACCACTTTCTACTAGTTTTAATGGCACTATCACTGCTTCCAAAAATTGCTTTAGGTCACTTACGGCCCCTGGAGATAAACATCTGAGGATTCTGCATAAGGTCCTTAATGGGTGTTTTCAGGACAGCATAATTACCTGAGGCTTGTAAGAGTGAAAAGCATCAGCCTCAAGGTTACTGAATAATGTATGGTTGCCTGTTTGTCTATTAGAGAGAGATAAAGAAGAACAAAAATCCAGTCACCATATGAATCACAATTTTATTATCTTTTTCATTCATTTAGTATTTCATTCAACACATTTGAAAGCATTTATTATGCACCAGGCACTGTACTAAACACTTTAGATTCTAGTATGATTAAGACAGCAGAGTTCTACCCATTGAGATGTTCACAATCTAGGTGGGGAAGGACATGGAGAATGAAGAATAAGCAGACCATTAATTCCCAGAAAGGAGTAGGGTTACCTCTGGGCCCCTGCGGAGGTCAATGAAGCTTTGTCTATGGCCTTTAAGAGCTTTTCATTTTTCTCAGCAGCAGGGATCTGTCCATTCTATATCTTTTTTTTTTTTTTTTCAATCTTCAAACATTTTATTACCTTTCTGGCTACATAGTGAATTCAGTGTCTTCATACTGAATGGTAGAAGATGGGAAGGAATTTTTCTTTTGCTTGGAAGTAAGTAACCATTTTTGGGTTGCTAAAGTCAATATTTAGCCCCTTCCCTGAGCACCCCCTCCGCTCAATCCCTATGCCCTGGCACCCATATAAATAAATAAAATGTTTAAAAAACTAAGTCAATATTTATTCATAAAATTATATCCTAGTCTTAAATAAGTTCAGACTTCAGAGCCAGACTGTCTGGGTTTGAAACCCAAGCTCTACTCTTACCAAATGTATGATGCTGACAAGTTGTCAAATCTCTGTGTTCCTCAGTTCCTTCATAATTAAAATGAAAAGTTCATAGGATAGTATGGATATATAAATATAAGTATAGACTTATTATGAGTATTGAATAAATGAACATACTAGCACCTGGCATACAATATTAATGGTATTATATCTCAATACAAGGGACTTACATTGCTACTTAGTGATTAGATTTGACAATCAGTAAGGAAAATGAATTTAAACATAACTGGTTCTTGAAAGTCCTTAGGAAGCAACATTTTTGGAGACCCACAGCCCACCTCTCAATATGTCTAGCACTGTCAATTTTTCCTTCAATGTTAAAACAAATTGTTGGTTTCTCGGATTGAACATTAAGTAGTATAGCAGGTTTGCCTGTAGGGAACATATCACACCAAAAGGCCACATTTTGAAACAACTTCATGTTGAGAGGCACCAAGAACTAAGCCTGATCTGAGAAGAACAAACTTCCTTTTCATCTCATGGTCATTTAGTGAAATGGCAGGCCAGAATTGTGACCCAATTTAAGTGATTTGTTTCCTCCTCTTTGACCAACTCCTCCTTTTGTCTGTTTTTGCCAAGACACAATAATTGAATTTAGAAAAATTAAATATAAAGCAATGACCTTTTACTAACATCTTGAGGTGCAACCCTTATTAATTTTCATTTGGGAAAGATAACTCAAGTTGTGTCATGTAAGCCATAAGCTTCTCGGGTGGCTGAATAGGAACAGCTCCAGTCTGCAGCTCCCAGCATGATGGATGCAGAAGACAGGTGATTTCTGCATTTCCAAGTGAGGTACCTGGTTCATCTCACTGGGACTGGTTGAACAGTGGTACAGCCCATGGAGGTCGAGTTGAAGCAGGCCAGGGCATCGCCTCATCCAGGAAGTGCAAAGGGACAGAGGATTTCCCTTTCCTAGCCAAGGGAAGCCATGACAAACTGTACTGGAAAAACCAGACATTTCCACCTAAATATTGCGCTTTTCCAATGGTCTTAACAAACAGTACACCAGGAGATTATATCCCATGCCTGGCTCAGTGGGTCCCTTACCCACAGGGCCTTGCTCACTGCTAGCTCAGCAGTCTGAGATCAACCTGTGAGGCAATAGTCTGGCGGTAGAGGGGCGTCGGCCATTGCTGAGGCTTGAGTAAGTAAAGCAGCCAGGGAAGCTCGAACTGGGTGGAGCCCACCACAGCTCAGTAAGGCCTGCTGCCTGTTGACTCCTTCTCTGGGGGCAGGTCATAGCTAAACAAAAGGTAGCAGAAACTTCTGCAGACTTAAACATCCCTGTCTGACAGCTCTGAAGAGAACAGTGGTTGTTCCAGCATGGCATTTGAGCTCTGAGAACAGACAGACTGCCTCCTCAAGTGGGTCCCTGACCTCTGTGTAGCCTAACTGGGAGACACCTCCCAATAGGGGCTGACTGACACCTCATTCACGCAGGTGCCCTCTGGGACAAAGCTTCCAGAGGAAGGATCAGGCAGCAATTTTTGCTGTTCTGCAGCCTCTACTGGTGATATCCAGGCAAACAGCGTCTGGAGTGGACCCCCAGCAAACTCCAAGAGACCTGCAGCTGAGGGACCTGTTAGAAGGAAAAGTAACAAACAGAAAGGAATAGCATCAACATCAACAAAAAGGACATCCACATCAAAAGCCCATCTGTAGATCACCAACATCAAAGACCAAAGGTAGATAAAACCACAAAGATGGGGAGAAACCAGAGCTTTTTAGAAAAGCTGAAAATTCCGAAAACCAGAATGCCTCTTCTCCTCCAAAGGATCACAGCTCCTCACCAGCAACAGGACAAAGCTGGACAAAGAATGACTTTGATGAGTTGACTGAAGTAGGCTTCAGAAGGTTGGTAATAACAAACTTTTCCAAGCTGAAGGAGAATGTTCAAACCCATCACAAGGAAGCTTAGGAAGATTAGACGAATGGCTAACTAGAATAAGCAGTATAGAGAAGACCTTAAATGACCTGATGGAGCTGAAAACTGTGCACAAGAACTATGTGATGCATGCACAAGCTTCAGTAGCTGATTCAATCAAGTAGAAGAAAGGGTATCAGTGATTGAAGATCAAATGAATGAAATAAAGCAAGAACAGAAGTTTAGAGAAAAAAGAGTAAAAAGAAATGAACAAAGCCTCTAAGAAATATGAGACTATAAAAAAGACCAAATCTACATTTGATGGGTGTACTGAAAGTGATGGGGAGAATGGAACCAAGTTGAAAAACACTCTTCAGGGTATTATCCAGGAGAACCTCCCCAACCTAGCAAGGCAGGCCAACATTCAAATTCAGGAAATACAGAGAACACCACAAAGATACTCCTTGAGAAGAGCAAACCCAAGACACATAATTGTCAGATTCACCAAGGTTGAAATGAAGGAAAAAATGCTAAGGGCAGCCAGAGAGAAAGGTCGGATTACCCACAAAGGGAAGCCCATCAGACTAACAGCGGATCTCTTGGCAGAAACTCTACAAGCCAGAAGAGAGGGGGGGCCAATATTCAACATTCTTAAAGAAAAGAATTTTCAACCTAGAATTTCATATCCAGCCAAACTAAGCTTCATAAGTGAAGGAGAAATAAAATACTTTACAGACAAGCAAATGCTCAGAGATTTTGTCACCACCAGGCCTACCTTACAAGAGCTCCTGAAGGAAGCACTAAACATGGAAAGGAACAGCCAGTACCAGCCACTGCAAAAACATGCCAAATTGTAAAGACCATCGATGCTAGGAAGAAACTGCATCAACTAATGGGCAAAATAACCAGCTAACATCATAACGACAGGATCAAATTCACACATAACAATATTAACCTTAAATGCAAATGGGCTAAATGCCCCAATTAAAAGACTCAGAATGGCAAATTGGATAAAGAGTCAACACCCATCAGTGTGCTGTATTCAGGAGACCCATCTCACGTGCAGAGACACACACTGGCTCAAAATAAAGGGATGGAAGAAGATCTACCAAGCAAATAGAAAGCAAAAAAAGCAGGAGTTGCAATCCTAGTCTCTGATAAAACAGGCTTTAAACCAACAAAGATCAAAAGAGACAAAGAAGGCCATTACATAATGGTAAAGGGATCAATTCAACAAGAAGAGCTGACTATCCTAAATATATATGCACCCAATACAGGAGCACCCAGATTCATAAAGCAAGTCCTTAGAGACCTACAAAGAGACTTAGACTCCCACACAATAATAATGGGAGACTTTAACACCCCACTGTCAAAATTAGACAGATCAACGAGACAGAAGGTTAACAAGGATATCCAGGAATTGAACTCAGCTCTGCACCAAGCAGATCTAATAGACATATACAGAACTCTCCACCCCAAATCAGCAGAATATATGTTCTTCTCAGCACCACATTGCACTTATTCCACAATTGACCACATATTTGGAAATAAAGCACTCCTCAGCAAATGTAAAAGAACAGATATCATAACAAACTGTCTCTCAGACCACAGTGCAATCAAATTAGAACTCAGGATTAAGAAACTCACTCAAAACTGCACAACTACATGGAAACTGAACCACCCGCTCCTGAATGACTACTGGGTAAATAATGAAATGAAGGCAGAAATAAAGATGTTCTTTGAAACCAATGAGAACAAAGACAAAAGGTACCAGAATATCTGGGACACATTTAAAGCAGTGTGTAGAGGGAAATTTATAGCACTAAATGCCCACAAGAGAAAGCAGGAAAGATCTAAAATTGACACTCTAGCATCACAATTAAGAGAACTAGAGAAGCAAGAGCAAACAAATTTAAAAGCTAGCAGAAGGCAAGAAATAACTAAGATCAGAGCAGAACTGAAGGAGATAGAGACACAAAAACCCCTTCAAAAAATCAACAAATCCAGAAGCTTGTTCTTTGAAAAGATAACAAAATTGATAGGCAGCTAGCCAGAATAATAAAGAAGAAAGAAGAATCAAACAGACACAATAAAAAATGATAAAGGGGATATCACCACTGATCACACAGAAATACAAACTACCATCAGAGAACACTATAAATGCAAATAAACTAGAAAATCTAGAAGAAATGGATAAATTCCTGGACACATACACCCTCTCAAGACTAAACCAGGAAGAAGTTGAATCTCTGAATAGACCAATAACAGGCTCTGAAATTGAGGCAATAATTAATAGCCTACCAACCAAAAAAATTCCAGGACCAGATGGATTGACAGCTGAATTCTACCAGAGGTACAAAGAGGAGCTGGTACCATTCCTTCTGAAACTATTCCAATCAATAGAAAAAGAGGGAATCCTCCCTAACTCATTTTATGAGGCCAGCATCATCCTGATACCAAAGCCTGGCACAGACACAACAAAAAAAGAGAATTTTAGACCAATATCCCTGATGAACATTGATGCAAAAATCCTCAATAAAATACTGGCAAACTGAATCCAGCAGCACATCAAAAAGCTTATCAACACAATCAAGGTGGCTTCATCCCTGGGATGAAAGGCTGGTTCAACATATGCAAATCAATAAATGTAATCCATCACATAAACAGAACCAATGACAAAAAAACACATGATTATCTCAATAGATGCAGAAAAGGCCTTTGACAAGATTCAACAGCCCTTCATGCTAAAAACTCTCAATAAACTAGGTATAGATGGGACCTATCTCAAAATAATAAGAGCAATTTATAACAAACCCACAGCCAATATCATACTGAATTGGCAAAAACTGGAAGCATTCCCTTTGAAAACCGGCACAAGAGAGGGATGCCCTCTCTCACCACTCCTATTCAACATAGTGTTGGAAGTTCTGGCCAGGGCAATCAGGCAGGAGAAGGAAATAAAGGGTATTCAATTAGGAAAAGAGGAAGTCGAATTGTCCCTGTTTGCAGATGACATGATTGTATATTTAGAAAACCCAATCATCTGGCCAGGTGTGGGGACTCACACTTGTAATCCCAGCACTTTAGGGGGCTGAGGCGGGTGGATCACAAGTTCAGGAGATCAAGACCATCCTGGCTAACATGGTGAAACTCCATCTCTACTAAAAATACAAAAAAAAAAAAAAAAAAAAATTAGCTGGACGTGGTGGCAGGTGCCTGTAGTCCCAGCTACTCAGGAGGCTGAGGCAGGAGAATGGCATGAACCCAGGAGGCAGAGCTTGCAGTGAGCCAAGATCATGCCACTGCACTCCAGCCTGGGCAACAGAGTGAGACTCCATCTCAAAAAAAAAAAAAAAAAAAGCAAGAAAGCAAGAAAGAAAAGAAAGCCCCATCATCTCAGCCCAAAATCTCCTAAAGCTGATAAGCAACTTAAGCAAAGTCTCAGGATACAAAATCAATGTGCAAAAATCACAAACATTCCTATACACCAATAACAGACAAACAGAGAGCCAAATCATGAGTGAACTCACATTCACAATTGCTACAAAGAGAATACAATACCTAGGAATCCAACTTACAAGGGATGTGAAGGACCTCTTCAAGGAGAACTACAAACTACTGCTCTACAAAATAAAGGAGGACACAAAGACATGGAAGAACATTCCACGCTTATGGATAGGAAGAATCAATATCATGAAAATGGCCATACTGCCCAAGGTAATTTATAGATTCGATGCCATCCCCATCAAACTACCAATGACTTTCTTTACAGAATTGGAAAAAACTACTTTAAAGTTCATATGGAACCAAAAAAGAGCCCGCATTGCCAAGAGGCTGGAGGCATCATGCTACCTGACTTCAAACTATACTACAAGGCTACAGTAACCAAGACAGCATGGTACTGGTACCAAAACAGAGGTATAGACCATTGGAATAGAACAGAGGCCTCAGAAATAACACCACACATCTACAACCATCTGATCTTTGAAAAACCTGACAAAAATGAGCAATGGGGAAACGATTCCCTATTTAATAAATGGCGCTGGGAAAACTGGCTAGCCATATGTAGAAAGCTGAAACTGGATCCCTTCCTTACACCTTATAAAAAAATTAATTTAAGATGGATTAAAGACTTAAATGTTAGACCTAAAACCATAAAAACCCTAGAAGAAAACCCAGGCAATACCATTCAGGACATAGGAATGGGCAAGGACTTCATGACTAAAACACAAAAAGCAATGGCAACAAAAGTCAAAATAGACAAATGGGATCTAATTGAACTAAGGAGCTTCTGCACAGCAGAAGAAACTACCATCAGAGTGAACAGGCAACCTACAGAATGGGAGAAAATTTTTGCAATCTACCCATCTGACAAAGTGCTAATATCCAGAATCTACAAATAACTCAAACAAATTCATAAGAAAAACATCAAACAACCCCATCAAAAAGTGGGCAAAGGATATGAACAGTCACTTCTCAAAAGAAGACATGTATGCAGCCAATAGACACAAGAAAAAGTCCTCATCATCACTGGTCATCAGAGAAATGCATATTAAAACCACAATGAGATACCATTTCACAGCAGTTAGAATGGCGGTAAGTAAAAAGTCAGGAAACAACAGATGCTGGAGAGGATGTGGAGAAAAAGGAACGCTTTTACACTGCTGGTGGGAGTGTAAATTAGTTCAACCATTGTGGAAGACAGTGTGGTGATTCCTCAAGGATCTAGAATGAGAAATACCATTTGACCAAGCAATCCCATTACTACTGGGTATATACCCAAAGGATTCTAAATCATGCTACTATAAAGACACATGCACAGGTATGTTTATTGTGGCACTATTCACAATAGCAAACACTTGGAACCAACCCAAATGTCCATCAATGATAGACTAGATTAAGAAAATGTGGCACATATACACCATGGAATACTATGCAGCCATAAAAAAGGATGAGTTAATGTCCTTTGCAGGTCATGGATGCAGCTGGAAACCATCATTCTGAGCAAACTGTCACAAGGACAGAAAACCAAACACTGCATGTTCTTACTTATAGGTGGGAATTGAACAATGAGAACACTTGGACAAGTGTGGGGAGCATCACACACTGGGGCCTGTAATAAGGTGGGGGGCTGGGGGAGGGATAGTATTAGGAGAAATACCTAATGTAAATGATGAGTTAATGGGTGCAGCAAACCAACATGGCACACGTATACCTATGTATCAAACCTGCACATTGTGCATATGTACCCTAGAACTTAAAGTACAATAAAAAATAAATAAATAAAATTAAATTAAAAAATTTTTAAAAAGACATAATAGTGCTTCTATTCTGAGATGCGGTGTGTTACTATTCCCCCTATTATTTCAAATGATAGCAATATTAAAACAATTTTGTATTATACTTCCCTGAAGTTAGCACAATCAGGCTACTCTTTTTTGCCTTCAAAGCTAAGACCTTGACCCCAAACCACCACCATCTCTCACTCAGGTGGTGGCAACAGCCTCCTAACTGTTCTCTTAGCCTCTAGCTTTGTGCCTCTCTTCCCCAACAAGAGGAAATGCAATAGCCAGAACAGCCTTACAAGGTCCCTTTTGTTCAACACCCTACAATGAGCCTCAGTTCATTCTCAGTAAAAGCCAAATGTCTTCCTTCTCTTTTTAATTATCTAAGTTCATTTTATTTTCCAGGATATTGTTTATCTTGAAATTCTATGGGTGCAAGAAAAAAATGTGACTGCTGCTATTATTGCGTGGAGTATTCATATACAGAGTATGGCATCTATCTTGTTGGTTGATTGTGTTTTTCAAATCTTCTATGTCCTTACCCCAAACTCCCAATCCTCCCATTATGCTTATCACCTTCTAATGCAATATATGCTTACTTAATATGCTTAGTGTTTATTGTCTATCTTCCCTTGTTAGAATGTAAGCTCCACAAGGTAGGCATTATTGATTGTTTTGTTTCCTGATGTATCTCATTTTTCTGGAACTGTGCCTGGCACATAGGAGTGCACAGTAAATATTCATTGAATGTTTGAAGAATGCTCCATCCCAACCAAAGGTAGAATAAACCAGTTACTTATTTATTTTGAGACAGAGTCTTGCTCTGTATACAGGGTGGAGTGCAGTGGTGTGATCACAGCTCGCTGCAGCCTCAACCTCCTGGCTCAAGTGATCCTCTTTCCTCAGCCTCTTGAGTAGCTGGCACTACAGGCTAATTTTTTAAAAAAAATTTTGTAGCTATGGGGTCTCAACATGTTGCCCAGGCTAGTCTCAAACTTCTGAGCTCAAGGGATCCTCCTCTCTCAGCCCTCCAAATGGTTGAGATTATAGACATGAGCCACTGCGCTCAGCCCAGCTATGTTTATTTCTATGCCCTTTTCTTCCCTTTATTATTCTGTCTCACACACAAATATGTCTTTTATTCTGATGTCCCACTGATATGATATCAATCTATTTTAGTCAACATTTTTTATTCTTATGGGTTATATACTTTTTTAGTCTTAATATCATTTAAGGGTGGATCCAAGATTTGGGGGCCCTCTTCAAGTAAAAGAATGTGAAATTAAAAACACAAAAACTGCTTGGAAAGAGGCTCTTCACTCTCATTCATGCCAGCTATCATGTTGAGATGCAAGACACCACTCCCCTTTCTTTCCATTGTGGAAGGAATTTCAGATAGTAGAAAACAGGGGCTTCCACTGATAATTTCCTAGCATAAGCTATGATGTTGATGATAAACAAGATTAAACTAAAAGGCAAAGAAGAAGCAAAAAAAGTAGTTTGATTCTGCCAACACATAACAAATTAAAGTGATTTACCCGAACCACTTAAGGTTAATTACGATGAAGCACAATGTAGACTGTGAATGTCATTAGTCTGATAGATTCACTTTGGCTGCCACAGAAGCTAGCATTTGATTCTATGCTGAGCTAAGGAGTTTCTTCAGCTTCTGGCACACAACCCAAGGCTTGCCCCACTCCTTGTTTTTTTTTTTTTGATTTTTTTTTAATTGTTGCTAAAATCAGTGGAACACTGGAAGAGAGGGAAAGGAAGAGAGAGAATCAAAAGCATGGAGGCATATAGCAATCTGAGGAAAGGAAGAGGTTGAAGACATTAACGTAGATATCTATAGCCCCAGTTGAGTTTCTGTTCATCTCCCTTCAATACCCATTCTCTATCCAAATAGTGATGTGGCGCTTTGTTTAATTATTGTTTAATAGAAGTCTTCTCTCCTAGATTGGAAGCTTCCTAAGAGCAAAGGCCTCATCCACTTCCCTCCTGCTCTCCCTGCAACATGTCCCCCTCCATGTGTCTGGCACATTAAAGGGTTTCAATCAATAATTGATGTGTGAATTCCTTTTACGAATGAGTAAACAAATTGAAGAAAATTTGGCTCTTAGAATCCCCCACTTGGTAGAGCATCTCCTTAGTCCTGTTTTCTTTATTTCATTTATTTCTACACCAAGGATTTCTTCTGCTCCTTATGCCCAAGGCTGGAAGACTTAAACCCCTGAATGGGAAAGTGCCTTATAGCAACTGCCTTCATCAAAACGAATTAGACCATAAAGACATCTAGTCTGCACTCTCTCCTACCTATCACTTTCATTTTATTTGTAATATGTTAATAATACATGCAGAGCAGGATAAATGAAAAATATTACAATATGTTCTGTTGACCTAATGTGAGCATACATTTGGCCAAGTAACTGTGAAATATTTGATATTTTCACAGGAAAGCCAATGACTTTCCGTCTCTGAAGTTGGTGCTTTGGTTTATTTGACACATTTTCCATAGTCATGTTACCAGTAATTTTAGAGGTCCCAGGGGAAGAAACATTTCTCTTCCCTGAGTTCAGTAATTGTCATCTGAAGGTCTGAGAGCTGTACCACTTGCTTCTTGATTGTTTGGTTAAAGAAAAAGTTGTATGAAATGTCCTTTCTATTTTCAGAATATATATTTAACATAGAAAACCTGCTGGTAATTGTGCCAGCACTTAAACGCTATTGTTTCTTGGAAAGGGCCTATTCTGTTGCATGTGCCTTTTAAATGTAACATCTTTAAAACTTGAGTTCAAAGGACTGCCTCTCCTTTCATTAAACTGTAAGGACTTTGGAATGCTGTAAATTCATGTTCCCAGTAATTCTGGTCCTGGACAAGTTTCCTCTTCAACACCCCCTGTCCTTTGTTGTCATCTGTCTTCTCAGCGTCCTTCTGATGTCCAGCTTTGTGTTTCCTGCTATGGACATTTCCTGAGATCACTTGAGCTTATGTTCCATCTCCGAGAGAAAGCTGATGAGAATTAGTCATCCATGAATGTGATTATGGGTGATAATAAGCCCTTCTCAGTTGAGGTATTGCAGCTTAGCAGGAGACTTTTGAAATATTATCACTTTGCACAGTATGATTTTACCCAATATTCACAACAACCCTGTGAAGGAGAAGATGTGGCTAGAAATATTTCCATTTGTAGGTGACAACACTGCATTCCTGAAGGGCTAAATGATTTGCTGATGGTGATGTTACAGGACCCCAGCACTTACCCAAAGGTAGCCATTGGGTCAGGGTTTCTGCTCTATAGTCCCTTCTGTGTCACCAGAAAGATGTTACAGGACCCCACCACTTACCCAAAGTTAGCCTTTGGGTCAAAGGTTTCCTCACTGTAGTCCCTTTAGGTTTTGCCAGAAAGATGTTATAGGAAAGGGGTCCGGATCCAGACCCCAAGAGAGGGTTCTTGGATCTCGTGCAAGAAAGAATTCAGGGCGAGTCCGCAGTGCAAAGTAAAAGCAAGTTTATTAAGCGAGTAAAGTGGTGAAAGAATGTCTACTCCATAGACAGAGTAGGATGTTCCTGAAAGTAAGAAGAGAAACACATCCACCCTAAGTACAATACTTGTATATATGGGGAGATGTGCTCTGCTACAAGGATTTGTGATAAAGGATTAATTTGCTTGATTACTATATTTTGCAAGAATCAATATTATTATCTTTAAAGCAAAATTAGGAATGCCTTTGTTCTCCAGATATCGGGATATCTGGACATGCCCAAGTCTGGGTCTGTTTAGCAAACATTATTAATTTGTTCCCTTAACCATAGACATCTAGAGGCTAGGAATGACTAACCTTCTGGAAATGCAGCCCAGCAAATCCCAGCCTCATTTTCCTAGCCCTCACTCAAAATAGAGTCGCTCTGGTTCCAACACCTCTGACAGTGACACAAAAAGTAGCAAAGTCTGAACTGAAAACAGGCTGAGTCAAGATACTTTTGCATTTTTCTATCATCAGGTTACTAGCATCTGGAATGATCAGATAACAAAATTGTAAGCAAAATAGTTGGCGAATAGGAAGGACTGTGGCTGCATGCTAATCTTTCAGCCCTTCCCTGATCTTTGACTCCTCTCGCTTCTTTGATTCCACATTCCCTTTCTCCTCCTTTTCTAACAGAATCTTCTAGTTTCCTAAGCAGATTCCTTTCTCTCTGTGTCCCTTGGAGTATCCAGGGGTTTTGGCCCTCTTCTTTGTTCACTTTATACTGTCTACATGTGTCACCTTAGGTACATCTTTGGTTTAAACCATGATCTTTAGGTTGATGACTTAAAAAACCCAAATCCTGAACTTAGGTAAGTCTTTGCTGAGTACTATGATGGTGCACGCAATTGTCTACAGGGTAACTATTCTGGATAGTCAACTATTACTCTAACAAGACATGGCCAACTCACCAGCCATCTTACAGACTGAACATTTGTGTGCCCCCCACATCCATATTTTGATGCCCTAATCTCCAATGTGATGGCATTAGAAATTGAGGCCTTTGAGAGATAGCTAGGTTTAGATAATACCATGAGGGTGGAGCCCCTAGTGATGGCATTAATGCCCTTACAAGAGAAAAAGAGACACCAGGGTGTCTTCTCTTCATCAGGTGAGGATACTG